>NC_000003.12:128251028-128402543 GCF_000001405.40 Homo sapiens
TTAATTTATTTTGGATTGTTCATTGCTGGTGGATAGAAACACACCTGATTTTTGAACTTGTACCCTGCAACTTTGCTGAGTCCTCCCCCCATCTTTTCTTTACATATAGTTGTAGTCATGAGGCATGTACATTTTTATTTCTGCTTTTATTACTTAACATTTTACATATCATTTGCTCATGTAACCACCACTCTGTTGACCTACTAGACTGGCTTAAGTTTCTGTTCTTAAAAATAAAGCCTTAAGGTGAACATCTCTGTACATCATTAAACTGTATTTTCACCTTTTTCCTCATGATAGATTTGCAGGTATGAGATTATTAGATCAAGGGGTCTGAACATTTCTAAACTTTTTGCTGTGCATTGCCATATTATTTTCCAGAAGTGTTCTACCATTTTACACAGGTGTCAGCAGATTACTTTGGTTTATAATTTTAAACTATACTTGAAACTTAGTAGAAAATAGTGTTTTAGTAGAAATGGTAACTTAGTAGAAATGGTATTTTGTTCTTGTTTTAATTTGTGGTTCTTTATTTCCTGAAGTGTTTTGAACAGTTGTGCTTTTGTATGTGTGAATTATGCCCATGTAAAAATTTTGTCTGTTTGCCTCTTGCAATTTTAATTTTTTTTTAATTTTTGGGAGTGTTTAATATTAGTAAAGATATTGCTGTTAACCCTTCTATCATATTTGCTACAAATAAGTCTTTGGCATTTGTTGTCTTTCCATTTTAGTTGCTTTTTTTGACATGCAGAAGTTTCTAATTTTTATGTAGTCAAACTCTTTGTTCTTCTTTGTGATTTCTTTATCTCTGAAAGCATTTAAAATTACTCTTGCATAAGCATTTATCAATGTTAACAGAAATCAAAACAGAAGATAAAAATGTACCCACAATCTTCTCAATGCATCAAATTAAAGTGTTTTTCCCCCAGGATCCCTGTCAGTCTTTCCTGCGTGTACATAATTTGAGGTAGTTGTTATCACAGCATTGACACTGTTCTGTGTTCTAGGCTTTTCTGTTTATTTTTCCACTAAATGTTATCATCTGACAGCATCCTTGATACATCATTCCCCCAGACTCCCTTTGTGTTTCTTCCTGCTTTTTAAACACTTTCTATTTCCTTCTGTCTGTTTTAGCCAGAGCCCTCTGTCTGGAGCCCACCAGGGACTCCATTGATCCTGCCTCCCTCCCTGTGAATGGGTTGAATGCCAATCTCAAGGAATTTCTCTGCTACTGAGTGGACTTTGACTAGGTGTATTTTCCATACTAGCTTTGTGGCTGACTAACTGTGTGTGCTTGGGCGACTCACTCCATCTCTCTGAGCTGCTATTTCTTCCTTTGTAAAAGGGGAGCTGAAAAGTTCAGTCTCATAGCGTTTAATATGAGGGAGCATTTCACGTGGAGCCTGGCACACCATGGATATGTAGGAATAATAGCTGTAACATGTGGAGAACCTGCTGTGTACTTGGCACTGTACTAGGGGTTTCGCATGCATAGTTCGTGGAATCAGTCGGATCCTTACAGTTTCCTAAGAGGTAGGTTTTGTGTCTGGCTTGACTATTGAGAAAAGTGAGGCTTAATAAATGTTGGCTGTTTTGAATCTACTATCCCAAAGGTAAAATTTATTTATACTCTATTTGTTTATATATCTTTATATGGATTATAAATTCATATATATATGTATATACACACACATACACATATATATTTATCTGAAACTTTTTTTGTGTGCTAACGAACGTCAGCTTGCATACACAGTCAGCACGTCTAGGCCCAGCAAGCACCGCAACATACTGTAGCTGCCAGGGAAGTCTGGAGGAGACAGTGGGATGGCAGGGACAGCAGTCCTTGAATGAGCTCTTGGTCAGCTCCTGCCCGCACTACAGAGCTGTGCAGCTGCCGTCTCTGGCTGGAGCCCCTTGTACTCCTAGACCCCAGACACCAATCCAGTGGCTGCTAAACTCTACTCCCCAGGGCTCCATGGAGCTGGGTCTCCCTTGTACAGCCAGAAGCCAGGGTGCCCTAATGTGTAGCATGTTCAGCGTGTTGGGAAGGCTAGCTTCTCTTGAGTCTGGGAAAGGGCCAGACACCTGGCCCAACACACTGTTATGTTCTATTACTATATATTGCCCAAAAGGGTTTGGATAAAGATAGTTGAATTTCCAAAAGCTTTATAGGTAATCTCTGGAATTCCCCATGCACGTTCCTACAACTCTGTGTCCCTCTGAGCCTCAGGCTCAGGGCGTGGAAGCAGAGCCAGTGTACATGGCTTGGTCTTGGCTCCGTCAGCTCTGCGGATGGAGCCTTCGTGCTAAGAATAGATTTTTCTCCTACCCATCTCTTTCTCCTATGGGAGAGGCCTGGACTCTGGACTCCTGCAGACCAGCCACTTACTCCCTGGCTCCCTGGGCGAGTCATAGCTTCTCTGAATATGGTACCTGAACCCCTGCCCATGGACTATTGAGATGGTATGGACACCACCAAGCTTGGTGCCTGGTACAGAGCAGGTCGCAGAGAAGTCTGAGTTCTTTTCCTGCCTTTCCCATTTTCTCTCCTGTGTTTCTTTTCTTCTTTTCTGTCTCTCTTCCTCAGTGTTATTTTTTCCTTTTCCTCTTTCCTTCCCTCTCCTCACTGTTCCTTCCTTTGTGAATTATTTTTCCCTCCCTCGTTCCCTCTCCAAGCTCTCTTTTGTCCTTCTGGGTATTGCCTTTCTCAAGGCAAAGACCTAAGCCCCGCTACTTCTGTGGGGGCAGTGTGTCATGTCTGAGCTACTCTAGAACTGATTGACAGGTGGGTCTGTGGCCCTCTTTGGAATCTCCTTACTGAACTGAAATCATCGTGTCACACTGACCTTTGGAGCAATGAGTGGCCCCTGAGATTGTTTAAGTTGCTCTTTAGGGAACTTCAGCTTCCTCAGAGTTACGTCTCTTGTCTTTAAAAAAGAAAAAAATCTGATTTTCTTCAAGGGTTTGCTCCCAACCAGGCCAGGGCAGTGGGATGAGGTTTTAAAGGCCAGTTGAATTAAGCTCCTCCCAACTGAGGAGCTTCCTGTGCAGTTGGACAGGAGAGCCTGAGTACCTGGATGATGGCGAAGGTGAGCTAGGGAATTTGCTTTGTGTCGGAGTTAAAGGCCAGAGCTGAAGTGGCTCCTCAGAGTAGCAAGGGGATTCTGAGGAAGGCAAGTTTGCTTCTGGCTGGGGAGTCAGGAATGAGGACTAACTCTAGAAGGGCATGTGATGACTAAGCAGGGGTGAGGTTCAAAATATGGAGCACAGGCCAGGAACTGGCCACTGGGAAGGGGTGCCATCATCTGTGGCTGTTGTGCTGGTATAGACGACTGGTGGTTGCAGCAGTTCCCAGGGCTCCTCGTGAGTTCCACACGGCACTTTTACACATGTTAACCGATTCAGTCTGGGAGACAACCCTGTGATCTAGGTCATGCCATCTCATGTTGGACAGGGAAATGGGGGCTGAGTGAGGTGAAATCGCATAAACCAGCTGTGGAATGGAAATTAGTCCTAGGTTTCTAGCTGGAATCCTGCCTCAGGCTGCCATTGCCTGGGTGAGGTTTGCCTAGGAGAGGAGGGGAAGGAGGTGAGGGCAACAGTGTGAGCTTGGGTTTTAAAAATGCAGATACCCAGGGCTTTTGCTGAGATGAATCAGTGTGGGGAGACTGGAGCAGATCCCAGAGGGCCTTGTGTACCACCCTGGGCCAGGACTTCATCCCAGGACAGTCACAGAGTCCTGAGAGTGGGGAGGGGAGAGGGCCAGCACCTCAGAGTGGTGCTGCTGGAAGGTTCTCACAGCTGTGGTCTGTGCATGCACTTTGGAGAGCAGTTGGGAGGCCTGGGGTGAGAAGAGCCTGACCCAGAGTGGAAGCCATTAAGAATGAAAATCAGGATGGATTGGAGCAAGATCCTAAGAGGAGAACCAATTGGATGCAGTGACTGATGAGAGACATCAGTGACCATGCAGTCAGAGAGGACTAATTCAGAGGCCAGGGCAATGCCATCCCATATCAGAGGCCAGGAATTAGAGGCCAGGAGGCAGCCTGATGGCAGATGGCAGGGTAGAACTAGAGTGCTGGGAATGGGGCTTGGCTGGGGATGCGGTTTGGGAGCGGCCCACAAGGGGGCTGTGGCCCTCATGGTCAGTATGCAGGGGAAGAGTTGGCCTCTCTGGCCACTCTTTGGGGAGGCCTGCAGTGGGCGCATGAGTGATGAAGAAGGGCCTCTCGGGGACGTGAAGGATAGTCAAGGGCCATGGAAATAAAGGTATGGGGTTGTCAGGGAGGAGGGAAGGATGCCACTGCTGGACAGTCACCTGGTCAGATGCCACAGAGGAAAGCGATTGCAAGGGAAGAGCACTGAGTTGACCACTGGGAGCTGCTCTTGACCTTCAGGAACTTCTTTCTCTGCCATGCTTCCCCGAACCCTGGCCCCCGTTCCTCTTAGTGTCACATGGAATTGGCACCCTGGTCTGGTGCCCCAGCCCCTCACCCCCATTGCTCTTGGGAGCCCTTTGTGTATTCATTGTGCACGTTCCGTGGAGACTGGCGCAGAGGAAGTACTTAGTAAATGTCCTGCACTTAAAAGGGAAGGAGACAGAAGTGACCTTGTAAGAAAATCAGCCATAAGCTCTGATGGGTAAACAGAAGTGGGATTTGTTTTGAAATATGAGAAGAAGGAGAAATTGGATGTTGATTGAAAGTGGCAGGGTGGGGGTGTCAAGCAAGAGGGCTTTTGTCCCAAGAGGAGAGAAATCTGGGGCTGTAGGAGTCTCTGGATGTGAGTCCAGGGAAGAGCTTGGAGGGGCTGGGGAGCGGGGCCGGGGCTGGGGTATCAGCATGGGTTCCTGGAAGGCCCCCATAGACCTGGCAGCAAGCTTGGGCTCTTCCCTTCAGGTGCCTCTTCTTGGGCTGGATCCTTCGCCTGGCTTCTGTTTGGGGCTATAGTGGGGGAATGTGAGGGGATGGCCTAGGGTCTGAGGAAGATGGAGGCAGTATTATTCAGAGTGAGGGACGTGCACCACATGTCACACAAGATCCATCTGGGACTGTGCTTGGATGTGGCAAAATTGCAATGAAAGTTAACCTTCTTCAGTTATCTTTAAATCTCTTTTATTAAGTCAGAAAAAATGTCTCAAATTGGTACTGTTGTGTCTTAAAGATTTCCCTAACTTTTTAACCAGGCTCAGTGCCTTCAGCAGGTAATAGTATCTAGCTAGAATTTAATAGCTCTATTTTGTTTTCTTTGTGTTTATTTTTGTAGCTACAGTAGTAGAAGATTTCTTGTCCCCTGAGATTGGACTGTGGTTGGTTAATCAAAAAAGTCCCTTGAAGCAGAGAATCATAAAAAATGACACATTCATGCCTTAAACATAATATTTTAACTTAAAACATATACGTGCATATTTATTTAATAAAATCAACAATAAAAGCTGTTACAGAAGAAATACAACATTCGCAGCATCATGCCTCCCTTTCCTCATCAGCACCAAGACACTGGCAGCCGGGCCAGGCTGGTCTGGGGCTTCTTGGCTGCATGTGGATTTGAGTTCTGAATTCGGGCCTGACTCCACTTCTTCAGGCTGTGCTTTTGAAGAATGTTTGGTTTTTGTGTCATTTATAATTTCAGTTTTCCATGCATGATCACTTATAATCTATATGTTATCTTTAATTCATTTGGTCTGAATACAGTTAAGTAAGCTATATTCTGTATGTTCTTCTTGGTCAGTATGTATGTATGTATTTTTGAGACAGAGTCTCACTTTGTTGCCCAGTCTGGATCTCACTATAACCTTGAACTCCTGGGCTCAAGCAATCCTTCTGCTTCAGCCTCTTAAGAAGCTGGGACTACAGGCATGTGCTACCACATCTGGCTAATTTTTAACACTTGTTTTATAGATGGGTTCTCTCTGTGTTGCCCAGGCTGGTATAGAACTCCTGGCCTCAAGTGATCCTCCTGCCTCTGCCTCCCAAAGTGCTGGTATTACAGGTGTGAGCCACCATGCCTGGCCCAGAATTTATGTTTTTGAAAGCTCTAGAGTTTGCTGATTTGGCAATAAGGAAAAGTTGTAGCGTGTAGGCTCCAGTTGCATCACTGTGGGCAGCAACTGTGATCATTCTGGCTTTTTCTATCCAAGTGTGGCATACTTTTCTTTGCATATGATTGTTTCTCTTGGTCACATCTTCTAAGTTTTTGCGGTTTTCTCAGTGTTGTGGAGGTGCTCTCTAGTAAGATTTCCCAGAGAAAGCCTCAGTGACTGACTTTAATTCTGTTGTGAGTATTTGAACAGCAGTTTCTTTCTCTTTGCTCAGATGCTCTCCAGAGGGGCTCCACGGCTTTGTTCCACCTGCCACTTGCTGGGATATGTTCTGCCCAGCTCGTCTTTTCTTCCAGGATGAGCCCACTAACTAGAGCTCCAAGTCACCTTTCATCTATAAACCACTCCCGAATGCAGTGCACTGCCCACAATTTCAGTGAAGCAAGTCTGAGTACAGGATTTTTCTGTTTTCACACAACCTCCCTGCAGGTCTTTTATGGTTTTCTTATCCACACCTAGTTTAACACCAGATTTTAAGGAGATTTGTCTTTATCACACCTTTCCAGAGCATTCAATTTAGTTTTCATAGAAACAGCTATTTTCACACTGTTGTTTCATAATACTAAATTAAATTATGTTGTTACAGTGAAGCTTATAACGGGCATTACCAACTTTACAGCATAACCAGGTTCAGCATAAAGGTCAGGAGGCAAAAGTGCAGGAAGTACTCACCTCTTGAGCGTGGCCTGTGCGCGTCAAGCTGTCCCCCCCCAGCATGGAGGTTTGGCATGCTAGGAGCCAGGAGCAGGTTTTGCAGAGGGAGTGCAGAGCGTTGCCTCATGGATGTCCTTAAAGTGACCAGTGGTGGGAGGGCTTCTACTCTACCTTTTATTTGTGGAATGTGGTGGTTTTCCATTTAGATAGTGGCATGAAATTGCGTTTTAAAATAAATATATTTAAGTAAGAACATTAATTCTTTTAAGGAAAATAAATGAGCAAATAGCTTAGATGGCACACAAATTTGACAAAGCTTGTGAAGAGGATGTGGGACAATTGGTCTATGTGCAGGTCAACCCTGAGAGAGGAGGAGGAAGGGAGGGAGCAGAGCGACCTTGATGTTTTGTCATCCCCTCTTTGTGCCCAGGCTGGCACTGGGCTCAATCTTCTGCTTTTGTGTTTTGAAAGACCATTGATGCCATCTTCCAGGTCAGTGTCCCTGGGGAGTGGATGCTGGAGGTCATTCTGGGGATCCCAGCACCGTGGGAAGGACAGGGCTCTGGAATAGGGCTTTTGGGACCAGAGTGCTGAGCTCTGGATTCCTCCTTGCTTCTGCTATTTGCTTCACCTGCGACCCTTTAGCAATCATTTGACCTCTCTGTGCCTCAGTTTCCTCATCTCTAAAATGATAATATAATACCTGACATCATTGCTGTGAGGATTAAATGGAGTCATGTGAAAGCATCTAGCCAGGTGCTGTGTGCATGGTGGGTGCTTCACCAATATTTGGAGAATGAATGTGTGACTCTGAATATGGGAATGATGACAGAAGTTCTTCCTACCTTAGAGGGTTGTTAAGAATTCAATAAATTTATGTCTGCAATTTGAAAGTGATAGCAAACTGTCATAGTATTGGGTACTATAATTATAGCTATCATATCGTTTTTTCGTTGGTTTGAGAACTAAAATTACATATATTTAATGTATGTAATTAAGGGCAAGGGTTTTATTAATCTGGCTACAGGACTTAAATATATGTTCCCTGATCCTTGAAGATCAGCTGCTTTCCAAATTCTCATATGGATTTGAGAAGGGACACATGCCCCTGCCTCCAACCTAGGCTGATGGAGGATTGTTCTCATGATAGTCTCAGGTTTAAAGTAAACTCAGAGTTGGCTTTAAATCACAGCCCCACCACTCATTAGCCTGTGGCCTGGAACAAGCTACCAAAGCTAGCCAAACTTTTAGGACCCTCTTCTATGAAATAGGGGGAGGAAGAATAATACCCACCTTTCAGGATTGTGATGAGAAGATGGGGATTGGAAAGCTTCTAGCACAATTGCTTGTACCATTGGTGCTCGGTAAAAGGTCCTGTCTCTTTCTGCCACTCCCACTGTGTTGCATGCTAGACTATATACAGAGAAGCACTTAGAGCAAGCCTCAGTGTCAGGAAGGTAAGGGTGGCTCTTCCTGGCGGAAACAAACTCCAGAACTAGAAGTGCTACAGAAATGTCTCCTGAAAATACATTGGGTATACAAACAATTGGAAGTGGTTCAATATTGTATGGCTTACTTATTAAGGCAATGCAATACAAATTAAAATGAAGTATATATTAAAAATAATTTTTAAAAGACTATTTTGTTATGTGTGCAGTGAAATAGGCATCTTAGATGTCCATTGTGGTAGTGGAAAAGGTAGCATACCTTTCAATCTATTTTCTCTGTAATTGAGATAGAATTCACATACTATGAAATTCATACTTTCAATGTGGAAAGAATTGTACAGCCATCACCACTATCTAATTCCAGAACATTTTCATTACCCCAACAGGAAATTGTATTCATTAAGCCCTTTGCTCCTCATTCTCTGTGCGCCACCAGCCTGGGAACTACTAATCTCCTTTCTGTTTTATGGACTTACCTATTCTGGTATTTCATATAAATGGAATTGCACAATATGCAACCTTTTGTGTCTGACTTCTTTCACCTAGCACAGTGTTTTTGTGGTTCATCCACACTGAAGTATGTATTGATGCTTCATGTCTTTTTATGTCATGTCTTTTTATGTCACAACAGAATAATATTCTGTTGTGTATATATACACAACATAGTTTGTGTATCCATTCATCTATTGATAGACATTTGAGATGTTTCTACTTTTTGGCTATTGTGAATAGTGCTACTCTGGACATGTATGGATATGTACTTCTTTGAGTATTTGTTTTCTGTTCTTTTTGGATATATATCTAGGAGTGGAATAGCTGGATCATGTGGTGATCCCATGTTTCCCTTCATTTTTGTAACATTTTTTACTGCATATAAAATTCTTGGTTGGTAGATTTTTTTTATTTTTATTTTTAACTTTCACTTCTTTGAATATATTATCCTGATACCTTCTGGCCTCCACGATTTCTCCTGAGAAACCAGCTGCAAATCTTATTATGGATTCCTTGTACATGAGTTCAGTCGCTTCTTTCTTGATGGCTTCAAGATTCTCTTTGTCTTTGGCCTTCAACAGTTAGATTGTAATGTGCCAGGTGTGGGTGTCTTTGAGTTTATCCTATTTAGAGTTTATTGAGATTCTTGAAAGTGTAGATATTTTCCATGAAATTTGAGAAGTTTTTGGCTATTAAATATCACAGCTTCCCTCAGGCAGCTGTGATGTTAAACAATTGCCTCTGATTATTTTCAACAAACTCCCCCAGGGAAAAGGCTATTTGCACTAAGCAAGCTCCAAGGCAGGTCAAATAAATATAGCATTGTGAGTAGGGCCTTCCAGGGAGCCACCAGACTGGAAAATCATGATCGTTCTCTGGAAGAAGGGCTTTGAAGGAGCTCAAACCCATTCTGCCCCTTTCAGTGCCTGGCATGCTACTGGTTTTCACCATGATTGGTTTTCAGGACAGCTGCAGAGTTAGCATAGGAAGAGGGCAAGTTAAAACATCAAAAGCTCACTTGGTTTTACTGAGACTCTTCTTGAATAAACACTCCACAGATTGCTCAAGCCTTTGGTTAATTTCCAGAGTTCTGAACAAGTTGATTCTGATCATTTTTGCCAGTGTTCTTTGTTTCCATGGAAGAGGGCTTTTCAGATGTCCTTGCTGTATCATTTTGCTGATCTATTAGTGAGTATTCACTCTTAGATGTGTACCCCACGAATTCATCCCACAGCCAAGGCAAAAAAAAAAAAAAAACATTCATGCCCGCTGACATGTTTATCACAGTGTAATTTATAATAGTGAAAAATTTGAAATATCACAAATAAGTAATGGAGGAAAGCATGTACAAGCATGTAAATTCTGGGTCGTACCATTGTCCAGGTGTCAACAATGAAAGAACAGGCCCAGGTGGAGAGAAGTGTGACAAAGAGACTGAGAGCCCTGGCTTCAGACTCAGATGGGCTGGGTTCAAATGTGGCTCTAAGGTTTATAGCCAACAACTTGGAGCAAATCAGTTAGACTCCCTAAGCCTCATTTTCTCATCTATAAGATGGCAACAACTCCATCATGTGTTGTAGATGCTTTCATTTAAACCTCACATTATAGGCTTGGCTCAGCCATGTAAGTTGTTATTGTTGTTGCTGTCATTCAACAGAAAGTTCTTTGTGATATAATGGTAAATAAATTAGCAGGATATGAAATCGTATACATACTATAACCAAAATCTGAAAAAAAGAATCCCTTGGCAAAGCATGGGAAAACCATGGTTGGAAGAAAATACACCAAATGATGGGATTATGGGTTATTTATTTTCTCTTTCCCTCTTTTTTTTTTTTTTTTTTTTGCCCTAACAATGTTCCTTTTTTTAAATGGGAAAGATAAATGTCCACACAGAATAAGTATGTCTTCTTAAAGATGCGGGGGCTTTGCTAGTAGAGTTTAGGCAAGAATGCTCTGCATTAGAAACTGAGATTGTAGAGGCGTGCTTCCAGGTACATCTGCAGATACTTTTTGGTCACTATTATTTCTTGCATCTCTTCAGAAGGCTGAGATGTATTTATTGGTCTTCTTCAAGGAGGTCTTTTATTCAGAAGCCTAGGGGCCAGGATCACTGCTGCCTCCTTAGGGAGTGCTCTGAAAGTGGAGGTTAATATCTAAGAGAGCCCTTTAAAATTCTGATGTCCAATGCAGGGACATTTCCCCCAGACGGGGAAATTTGGGGCCTCCATTGCATCATGTGCCATGTGCTAGTACAGTGGTGCTGTCTTCTAGGCTTGGTTGATGTGGGGAGAGAAGAGGATGCTCACTGCACTTGGTACTGTGCCAGGTGCTTCATGGACGTGCTTTGTGTCCATGTTGCTGATCTCTGTAACTGTGATGGGACTTATTTTCCATTTCAGGTTCCGAGGTGCACCGATTATACCCGTGGCGGCCAAGCCGGGGGGACCAGAGGCCCCCGAAACTGAAGCTCCACAGGGCATTCCAGAGCTCATTGAGGTACTGTCATCTTGAATCCAGGTTGCCCTTTAGCCCCAGCGCTGCTCAGGCCAGCCCCTTTGTGTCCCTCTCTCCCCTGAGAGAGAAAGAGAGGCAGCCCTAGCAAGAGGACTCAGTTGGTTCCATTAACCTCCCTGTTAACACCTTAGCACAACTCCCCCACCTCCCTCAAAAAGGTAGACCCAAACTAGGACTCCTAAGGTTCACTGAAGCCCATGATTCACCCTCCAGCCATAAACTCTGCAGAGCTCGTCACACCTTGCTGTGCCTCACTTTCTCCTTTCTCTTGTCATACCTACACTCAGACAAAGCAGCTCCCACCCATCTGGAACCCTGGGACCGTGACATCCATTCCAGTCCTTCAGACTGTATCAGCTCCTCCAGTACCCCACCTGGGCTGGGGGCCAGTGAGGCAGGGGTGAAAGACATGAGCCCAACAGCAGGGGCAATGCAGCTTCCATCCTGGGCACCTCCACCAAAGATGGGAGGCTTATCTTCGGAAGCTGTGGGGCTGAGGCCCAGGTTGTTCTTCCTAACTTGTGCTGGTAGTCAGGGAGGGAGCCCAGTCATCCATCAGGAAGGGTGTGTGTGGGTGCTGATGGTGCTGGTACTAAGGAAGGTAGCAGTGAGAATGGAGCCACAGAGTTCCTCCACAGAGTGCTCAGGACAGTTCAGCCGGGTGGAGTAGCAACGTGCATGGCTCTGGGGCTGGACTGTGGTTCAGGGGCTAGCTCCACCACCACTCTCTCTGACCTCAGGCAAATGATCTACTCTTTCTTGCCTCAGTTCCTTCACTTGGAAGATAATAGCACATACCTCGTGGAGTTGTGAGGGTTAAATGAGTTAATGTGTATAATGTGCTCGGTACAGTGCCATGTCAGTGCTTACTGTTACAGTGATGTTGATGTTTACAGGCCAGGCACTGTACTAAGTTCTTTACATACAGGATCATTGACATTCACAAAAACTCAGGGAGGCTGAAATTATTTATCCCCATATACCAACGAAGAGTCTGAGATTCAAAGATGTTAAATAACTTGACCCATGTCTGGCAGCGAGTTACACGGTGGAGCTGGGATTCAGACCCAGGTTGATCGCTGGGGTCAGCTTCACGGCCCCCCTGCACCTGGCTCCGCAGAGCCAAGATGAGATGTGACCACGTACATGCACTGCCACCATTTCTGTGATTTACACGTGCTGATCTTGTCAGCTTAGCAAAACAAATGTTTTCTGGGTGAGGCTTTTGTTACTTTTTCATCAGGCTCCTGAGAGCACTTGTCTGGGAGCCTGGGATAGTTGTTTTTGTTAAAGCGAAATCCTCAAAAATGCTGCTTTGAAAGATGTTTGTATATTCCTTTAAGAAGCCCCTACATAAATCTCAGACCAAGCCTGTTTTGTTTGAATCTCTAGTGTTTTTCCAAAAGAATTGTTATCACAAGACTAAGACTTTGGAACATTCACCACTGAATACTTTTTTGACAGCCTGTTCCCTTACGAAGTGAAAAAGTAGCAAACACAAGGAATCCTAGTCTTTGTTTTCATTTGTTTATTGGTGATGAGCCCTGACAGCATCTCCCGGCACACAGGTGGCATGAGGAGAATCGGCTGGTGAGGCTGAGGCGTGTGGAGTCCGCAGAGAAGGAAGGACCCTGGGAACAATCCTTTCCTCCTCCCTCTCCCCACATCCCCTTGTTTCTTCTTCTTTCACTTGTCATTCTCTCAGGCATGATGCCAGCTACTGGAGATACCTGGCTCTCACAGCCCTATGGGGGAGATAATAAAGAGATGATCACAGGAGAGTGTTAGCTATAGTGATGGGGGCAGGGGAAACGTGGCCATACAGAGAAGCCTGTCCAGAGGAGGTATTGCTGCAGTACAGGCGAGGCTCAGCCAGCTGGTAAAACTCTAGGCCTGCTGGCGGCTGGCTTCTGGCATACGTCAGGGAGTGGCGGAAGATGAGGCCTAAAAGGTACCTAGGGGCTAGATGATGAGGAGTTTTAAATTCTGAAGGCATCAGGAGGCTGGGGAAATGCATGAGGCCAGGGAGCAATGCGACAGGGTGTCCTTTAGTGGCTACTCTCCTGCAGCATGGAGGGCCTGGCAGGACAGACCATTGTAGCAGTCCCACGGGAGAAGACAGACGAGGCTTCTCCAGGTGCCCTTTCCTTCAGACTGAGCGGAAAGAGCTGAGAGCATGGCAGAAGCTTGGAATGCAGTCAGGGAGTTAGGTGGTTTTGATCTCCTGTCCACCTTGCCAGGGCATGGACCTCTGAGCTGAGTTCACCTTGGCAGCCTTGATGAACTGCTGGTCAGCCACATTCTCTGCCTTCCTCTGCCCTGCCCCATCTGGCTCCTCTCCCCACGGACTGTGGCACCAGTTTCTCTTTTCTAGCTCCTGACGTCCCAGATTTCCATCCCAACGAGAGATCCCTCGGGACCGTTCCTCATGTCTGTGGACCACTGTTTCTCCATCAAAGGCCAAGGCACTGTGATGACAGGGACCATCCTTTCAGGCTCCATCAGCCTCGGTGACAGTGTGGAGATCCCTGCCCTCAAGGTCAGTCTTACCTTGTCTTCCCTTCTGGCCTCCTCGCTGGCAGCAAGGGAGGGGGACTGTCCCTTTGTCTGTTCAGCTGCTGAGCCTGCTGCTGTGCCTGCCCTGGGACTCCCACTGCCTGCTCCGCCCCACCTCCCCTCTGGCTGCCTGGCCCCGCCCGGCTCCAAGTCTTTCAACTCAGATTCTAGGACTGCTGCTCTCCCTAATTCTCATAGCGCCTGTTTATTGGAGGCCTATGATGTGCCTCAAGGAGGTGTTCCCAAGTAGGTCTTCTGTGTAGATAAAGAAACTGAGGCTCCAGAAGGTGAGGTGGGCTTGAGATCACATGGTTAACAAGTGGGGCTGCTGGAGGGGAAACCTCCCTTTCTGGACGCTGTACGTCAGGGTGGCAAGTATGTGTGGAGTTATTTCTGGGTACCTTTTTCTTAACCACAGTAATTTCAAATTAAACATGACGTGAATCTTATGATGCTCAGAATCACAGAATCTGGAAGAAATCCAGGTTGGTTTTGCACTCCTGGTGGCCATCGACAGATGCCGCATTATTCTTCTGAAGACCTGTGAGAAGGATGAGTGGTTGGTGCCTTCCCATCACCCCTCCTTCTACTATGATGGCCTGGCTCTGATTTAAAAGATAGTGCCTTGATATTCCCCTTATTTAGAAGGCATTTTTAATAGTTTTACTTTATGCGACAAGAGAAACTTACAGCCTCATTGACTGCCCTCCCCTTCAACAAGAATAAAAGGTAGGGAACACATGCTACTTAGAATTCATGTGAGACCTTGCCTGGAATGCTGGGGTCCAGGGCAGTTCTCTAATCCTTGAAGGAGCCTACAGTGCAGGGAAGTGGAGGTGCTCAGCCCTGTGGACTCAGCTAGCTGCTAGAGAGGCTTGGATGTGCATGATTTCAATTTGCATGTTAATTGGGAATGGCTACCTGGAGGCTGTATTGAGGCATTTTAAGGTTGTCTGGCTCACTAGGTGTGTTGGTTAAGGTTCTCCGGAGAAACAGAACCAATGGGAGATACAGATATCTAGGTATCTATAGATACATAGGTAAAGATACATAGATGTAAATATGTAGATATCTGTATCTCCTATTAGTTTTGTTTTGCTGGAGAACACCAACTAATGCACCTAGTATTAGATGCAGATAGATAAATAGATACGTTTTTTAAGGAATTTGCTTATACTATTATAAAACCTGGCAAGTCCAAAATCTACAGGGTAGGCTGGCAGGATTGAGGCCTAGGGAGGAGCTGCAGCTTGAAGGCCATTTGCTGGCAGAATCCCCTCTTCTCTGAGGAGGTTAATCCTTTTGTTCTTAAGGCCTTCAACTGATTGGATGAAGCCCACCTACATTATAGGGGTCATCTGCTTTACTCAACATCCACCAATTTAAATGTTAATCTCATCTGAAAACACCTTCACAGAAACACTCAGAATAAAGTTGGAGCACTGTGGCCCAGCTAAGTTGACACATAAAATGAACCACATCACCCGCTGGGTGAGAGGGCCATGATAGCAGCACCTGGCCTGAGTGAGGGAAGTGGAGAGGGTCCCTACTGGCACCCATGTCTTGCGTGTGCCATCCCTCATCTAGAGCAGCATGGTTGGATATAGGGAAGGGGCATTTCATGGAGGGCAGGCATGAACAGGGTTCCCCCAAATGAAGGCAACCTGAGGTTTCAACCCCCCAGCTCATTTTACAGCAGTGTGTCTATTACTTCCTTCTGCAGGGGCCAGGGGTATTAGGGAAGAGTCTCCTGACCAGAAAGGACAAAACAAAAGAAAGGACTTGGCTCTGGCCAGGTTCCAGAGCTCCTTGGATCTAGTGGGAGGAGTCGAATGGCAGGGCCCCACCATATCCAAGGAGCCCTGGAACCTGGCCAGAGCTGGGTGTTAGGATGTCCCCCAGACACTGTGAGTCACAGTCCCCTCCTTTACCTGCTGTCATGTCCTCCTCTGAAGACCATTGGTCCCAGAAAAAGACCACTTGAATAAAATCTAGTTTAAGCCAGGGACTAAAAGTGCAAATCTTCAAAAATAAAGCACAAAAGTGTAAAAGTAGATTCAGTTTATATTTAACAAAATTAAGATTACTTTGGTGACTGTTTGCAGATTCTTTGCTAGAACAGAAAATGAATCAGTACTAAATTTCTTTCCAGTCTCTGTGCTTCCTAAGTCAGACCTCTGGGGGCCACTCTGACCTGGCATCCCTTCCACTCTGGGAGAAGACATGCTTGCAGCTTGGGAGAGGACCTGGGAGTATGAAAGAGGTGTCAAAAGAGGGCTCTCTGGGGGGTGGGGTAGACTTTGAATTGGGGGTACCTGAGGTTCTAGAGGGAGAAAAAGGTTTTTGATAAGAGTCAGTGGCTGCAATGTTAGGGCTGAGGGCATGGAGAAGGGCTGAGGCAGAGAAGTCAGTAGTGGTAAGGAGGCAGGGATGTTCGAGTGGGGTCCTGTTCTGAGCTTTTTGGCCACCCTCTTTGTCCTTATAAAGGTGGAACTTGCCTATCAGGATGCCAGTTACTGATCTTTAGTACTTGGGCACATGGCAGGTGCTTGGCAGATACAAATTTAATTCTCCTTTTACTTTTGTGCACCTGTTTTTCCCCAGCCTACTTTTTAACACTTTTGGTGTCTACTGCCTGATGATCTAATTTACTAGTCAGGAAAAGCAGAACTTGTAAGCAATGTACTGAGACATTTGGTTAAGGAGATTTCTAAGCAAACTGTGAAAGATGCTGCCTTGTTTCTCCATTGATGCTTATAGTAAAACATGAGGGAAAAGGAATGAATTGAGGAAGGAACTGTTAGCAAACAGAAATCAGCGCTTGATGATTTCGGAGGTTCTCAGTCCCTCTAGATTGCAAAGGATGTTAAGATTAGGAAATTCACTGCTGAGAAAGCATACCTTGGAGAGAAGGCCAAAGGTGAGCCTGGACAACCTTCTGTTGAAGAGAGGAGGTGTGTGACTCACAGATCCAAGCAACTTAGCAGCAACCAGAAATAGAGATGGACTTCTATAGCAAAGTTATGCGGAGAGCCGTCTTGGCTAATGGCATGGACCCCTTGATGTATATAAGAGACCCTCAAGGGTTTTGAGAATGTTATACCAGCAAGAACACTGGACTGAAAGGGAGAGAGACTTGACAAATGAATAAAAAGCTGTCAGACTTCTGGGATTCTACAGACAAGAAACAGGCTGATAGAACAACTCAGCTACAAACACATGTTATCCTTCAAAAACTAAAAAAGGAAGAATGACTCTGAGAGCAGGGCTCTGGAAACAGAAGTGAGGCTAGGGGAGTAGCCACAGAGGTCAGTCTCAGGTATTGAAACCTCATGGAATTTGCCCTGCTGTGTTTTAAACTTGCTTGGGACCAATGAACCTTGTATTTTTTCCACCGTCTCCCTTTTGGAATGTTAGAAGTAGGTAAATTGTTTTCTAGGTCCACAGATGGAGAGGCATTTTGCCCCAGGATAGACCATATCTAGAGTCTCACCCCTACCTGATTAGGTGACTTACATGATGACATTAGGAACTTTTTGAGCTGATGATAATTTAGATGAGATTTTGGACTTAGAGTTAATGGCCTAATGGACTGAGAGTTTGGGGGATGTTTGAAGAGGTGAATGTATTTTGCATGTGGGATGGATGTAAATTTTGGGTACCAGAGGGTAGACTATAGTAGGTTAAATTATGGTCCCCCAAAATATGTCTACCAGAACCTCAGAATATGACCATTTTGGAATAAGGGTCTTGCAGATGTAATTAAGGTAAGGATCTTAAGAAGAAATCATCCTGGATTAGGGTGGGCCTTAGGTCCAATGACCAGTGTCCTTATAAGAGACAGACAAGGAGAAGACACGGAGAGTCACAGAGAGAAGTCCATATAAAGACTAAGGCAGAGATTGGAGCTCTGTTGTTCCAAGCCAAGGGGTGCCCATGGTTGCCGGAAGCCCCCAGAAGCCAGGAGAGAGGCATGGAGATGAGTCTGCCTCGGTGCCTCCATGGGAACCATCCCTGCTGACACGTCGATTTGGACTTCTGGCTCCAGAACTGTGAGAGAAGAAATATTTTGTTGTTTTAAGATATCAAATTTGTGGTAATTTGTTATGGCAGCCCTAAGAAACTTATGAATTTTGCATGGAAAGGACTGAAATCAGAAAAAGCCTTAAGTTCTTTCTGATCCTGTCAGGTCCCTTAACTCTGAGCTTTGGCTTCCTCGCAGGGAGTCGCTGCCCCTGCTCACCATCTTGGGCTTCTGGGGGCAACATGTCAGAACCATTGCATACTGATGGCCAGCACTGCCCGTTCCTTTCTTTCCTGGCATGCCCATCCCACAAGTGAGAGAACCTAGACCCGGGAAACTTAAGCAACTGGACAGCAGAGCTGGGACTTGAAGTCATTCATCCAGCTCCAAAGACCCAGCCCTGGCCATGTGCCCTGCTGTCACGGGAGCCCCAGAGGAGATGCCTGGGCTGGTAGTGGTGCCTCTACTCCAGGGCAGGGCCTGCAGGCCCCATGGCAGTTCTGTGGCCATGCTGCTGTGCTTTGCTGAGGCCTTGCCTGGGCTGCGGCATGTACGAGAGCCCATTGCAGCAGAGCCTGAGGTTCAGAACTCCTGACCTCCTCTCACCCCTGCCCTCTTCCAGCCATGATTGGTGGCCAGTGCCTATTGGGCACCGGGACATGGGGGGCCATGGCCCTCTTTCCAAACACAGTGACATCCCTGTCAGATTTCACTAATAGACTTGGACACATCTGACCGCTTGAACTCCCTTGGAGGCAGGGCACAGCCATTCCAAATAAACAGTCACATTCCCCTCCCAGTCTGGGCTGGCCTGCGGAGCCTGCCATACCCTGGCCCCCGTTTCTGTTGCCCAGGTCTGTTCCCAGCTGGGGCCAATTAGCTGAGCAAGAAAATGTTGGGGAACAGGGAGTGAAGGAGAAAAAAATTCCATTTAGTCCCTAGAACAGTTTAAAGGCCACTTATCCTAAGAATCACCAGCTTTCTGCTGAGGCATTTTGACTCTCTCGATCTTCAGCCTGAGAAATCCCTCTGATAAGATTTGATCTTCGGGGTTCAGGCTAGTGATGTTTCTGGTGATGATTGGCTATCAGGGTTGTAACATCAGAAACTGTTGAAGCCACAGACCATGGGGAAAGAGAGCAGGGGCTGGGAGTGCAGAGGGACTCAAGGCAGGCATGTACCAGCTCTGTGTCCACAGGCAAGTCAGTCAACCTCTTCGTGTTTCACTGGTTCAGCTCAAACTTGGGATGACCACTGTGTGCTTGGCTCTGTCCAGGACCTCTGGAAGATGGGTCAGGGTGGTGTGGTGTGGACTAGGGATAATGTATATAAGGTTCCTGGCATCTAGGAGATACAAGCTTTAGCTGATACTCTTGTCATGTTTATTGTTGCCATTTGATATTATTCTCATGTAGAATTTTTGTTGTGGGTTCCGGAAGTAGTAAGTGTCAGGGCACCTTCCTGGGTGTAAGGTCCTGTTCAGGGCTACTAAGTGAGTTATTGAAATGCAAATATGCTTTGCGGACCCCACTATGTGGACCCCACTATGGTCCACTATGAATCCAATCAATGTTCTGATAATGATGACAAACATTATTAGATATATTTGGATACCTATTTAGTTGATAAAGCTTTTAGGGAAGAGTTCAGAATTTGATAACATAGTCCTCCCAAATCAAGTCTATATTCAGATTGATTTTCTTCTTCATTGAAAACCCCCCAGAAAGGGAAAAGAAAACCTTAAATACTGGTAGGTGTTTTTACTTTTACCTTTGCCTCTGCTCTTTGAAGCTAATCACAAGGGTGAGATAAGATTATGACATCTGGAAAGAATCCATTTTCTTGCCCAAACAAGCCTGCAGTCTTGACTCTTCCAGATCTGCCCTTCCCCCACCTCCAGCAACGCTGTGCACTCCCCTTCCCAGAGGAATGCTGCATTGCTTCTCTCCTTGGAGCCCTTCCGGGCTTTCCCCTACCTGCAGTATGCTCACTTTCCAGCACAGCTCAGGGCTCACATCCTTTGGGTAGAGGTGTGCCCCGTCCTCTGTGCTGCCTGCTGCTTGTATTTGTCTTTGTGCCTGCATCTCCTGTGGACCCTGGTCTCCCTGGGGGCAGAAGCTGAGTCTCCTCCATCTTTGTATTCTCGGCATCCATCCTGGGCTCGGCCCAGAAAATATTTGGTGAAAGGAATAATAGGAAAAAGCCAATAAAGGAAATAAACAAGTTGTTTTTCAGTAGGATTTTGATTGGAAATAGGTAATGAGTGACCTGAGAGGGCTGTGTTTGGAGTCACTGCCACCCTGGGGCCATTTACAGAAACCCAGAGCTGGGCAGCCCCCCACTTCCTGCTGGGGCTGTGCCCCTGTCTTCAAGGCTGCATCCTGATGCTCCATCAGTAAGCAGCAGTGGAGATGCTCCCTGTGTCCCTGTGCTGCCTCATTCTGGGAGCAGTGACTGTGAATCAGGTGCCCGAGGCTGCAGAGCTGGCTTTCCAACACCTGTGGATATCGGCTCTCAAGGCTGAGCTCCCTCTGCTGCCATGTGTTTTTATCTAGAAAATATTGAGTGACCTTCATCCTGAACTATTTTCTGTTCCAGAAGATACATAAAGGAAGGCAGTTTCTGTGCATTTGATGTTTCATGGTTGTCTGGCTTTTGGCAGTGGAAGCTTACGGGATTCTGCTCTCTGTGCCCATGTGTGGTGCACCAGATGCACAGGGTTGGAGCTCCCTGGGAAGGAGAGAAGGCAGAGAAGGAAACCAGGAAGGTTTTGGGAAAGCCAGAGGAAGCCATGCTAGGCCCTTTGAGCAGATCAGCCCACCCTTGGTTGTCGCCCTCAGGAGGGACCTCGCAGATCAGGCCCTTCCTCTGCAGCACCATGGCCACTGCTCAGGTTCAAACTCCCGGGCCCTGCAGGGCCGCTTCTGTGGCATGCTGCTCCTCCCCTTGCCTCCCAGGTCTTCTTCTTGAGTCCAGCCCAGCCCTGCTGACAGAAAAGCCTTATTGCTGTCCTGCTCATCTGTCTGTGGGTCCTCATTGTCTCCAGGATAAAATCTAAAGTGCATGGCACGGAAGGCAGAGCATAGCTCTTCATTATCACCTCTCCAGCCTCAGTTTCTTGTCTTAAAGCCTCATAAGACCTCCCACTGCTCTCTGTGTATCAGGCAGTACTCTGGTTTCAAAGGACAGAAACCCAACTTCAATTGCCTTAAGCAGGATAGGAAACAGATAGGCTCAGGGCTGGAGACGTCTGGATGTCATCAGGAGTGCTGGCTGGCTCCAGAACTGGCTCTGCCCTGTCGTGTGTGGGCCACACACTCAGGTGGCACCTTCCCTGGCATAATCCCCACAGCTCTGGCTTTCCATTTTCTCCTTCAAATCCAAGATGCAGTGCTACTTGTGGTTGACTCCTGAACATCACGCTATCGAAGGATCCGTCCTGACAGTGGAACACCCCTCCCCTGGCAGCGGCTTGTTACCTGACTCTGGCCAATGATATGTGAAGGGACATGTCCTAGGGGTTTGGGGAAAAGCTTTTCTGCTTTTTGGAACTCAACAGGAAAAGACAGCTTTTCTCCTTCACTGGACATTGAAGGGAGGAAGGATGTGACGCCTGGACTCAGGGGCTGAACGGCCACCTTACTCCCAGGCTGGAGGTTTGCAGAGGCTGGGAGGCAGGAGAGTTGCCCAGAAGCAGAGCCTGCACCTGAGGGCTGCTGTGTGTCTGCCCCGCCTCAGAACTTCGTGTATTGTGAGAGCTCTGTCTCCACACGGTTCCAGTCAGGGCTATCTGTTACTTTTGGACCAAAGTATCATTTATGATATGAGAGCAAAATGGCATCTCTTTCCTAGCTGTTAGGAACACAATTAAGGAACAGGCTGCTCCTGGCCTGGTTGGACGGGAGCTCATCCCTGTGGATGAGTACAGTGCTCTAATTGGGCTGGCTGGGTTACATGTCCACCCCTGGAGCTGGAAGGGACAAGGTGGGAGGGATGGTTCACTAAGAAATTTGGGTTACTCCTAGGAAATGCAGAATAGACATCAGGCAGGCAAAACTGAGAGGTATCCACTGGCTTGGTGCTTCCCAGTGTCCACACCATCACAGCTCAGGTGCTGGACACAGATGGACTATGTTTGAGTCCTGCCCCATCACTCACGGGGCAGTTACCTCCCCTGGCTTCCTCCAGAGGTTGTCATGAGGATTTGACAAGAGCCACGTAGCGTGCTTGCAGCAGGGCTTGACGTAAGCCTCACTGTCTTTATCACCACCCTGTACAACTCTGCATCTTGTCTTTTCTTTAATGGGCCTTTTTACTTGGCCCATGGAGTGCAGAGACTTGGGGTGGGGTGGTCTGAGCTCTGCATTTCCTGCCTGCACCCAGGACCCCAAGAGCCTCTGTGAGGTCTTGCCTTTCTCCTGGCTTGAGGATTTGAATCACACCTGCAGCCAAGTTGTAATATCCTGTTGTCTCCCTAAGGAGGCACAGCTGAGGAAGGACAGTCGCCAGGCAAAGATGGAAGGTTGACCTCACAGGAGGCAGGGAACTCAGGAAGACTTCTCTCTGCAGGTGCTGTTGTCAGAGATCAATGCTCAGTGTCCTAAAGCTCTGGCAGGTTGGAGGATGCTGCCCCTGCAGGCCTTTTTCCTGTGGAAGCTTGGAGCTTGTTCTTAACCCCCAAACCCCAAGTGAATGGCATGCCCTTTTCCATCAGGCCCCTGAGAATCTGTTGCAGCTAGACGAACTGCTACCAGCATGTGCTTCCAGAAGCGGATGACTGGCTGGAGTCCTGACCTGCAGTCAGCTGTCCAGGCAGAGGGTACAGCCAGGTTCTTGTGCTGAGAGCGGCCTGGACCTGTGACAGTGGGTCTGTCTGCGCTCCTGATAGGCCTAAGCATTTCACACAGTCTTCTGCAAGGATGGCACTGGGTGGCCCAGGCATGGTTGGAGCAGGGGAGAAATGGTGGCTTTAACCCAAGTGGTGTCTTCCTAAGGAAGGGGACAGGCAGGAGTGGTGCTGCCCCACTGCTGAGGTGGGCCCCCTTTATAGAGATGCCAGCTCAGTCTGGTCGTGCTTGGTGTGTTTCAAGCCTGGTGTAAGCATCTAGAGTCCCACTTGGGCCCAGGTTGACCTGCAGCCTCCCAACCCTTTGATGGGGCTCTAGTGCCCAAGACCACAAATCAAGCCCTGCCCCAGCCCAACCAGGCTCCTCAACTGCAGCTTCCTGCTCTTAGGCCAGGTGGATGTCTTAGGATTCAGCCTCTCCCCTGCTCACCCCAAAGCCTGAGTGCAGCCACCACTCAAGCATACCCTGCCCTTTCCAGCTGAGGGGCAGTGTTACAAAGAAGTGACAGCAGGGCTTCGAGAGCAACTGGGCTTGGGTTTGTACCTATGTGCTGGCCCTGTGAGCTCAAGTGAGTTCCCTGAGTACACTGAGCTTCAGCGTCCTTGTCTATCAGTGGGGTTGACCATGCTGCCTTCCTCCGAGTCGCAGCAAAGAGGAGGAGGAAAGGGGCAAGCTGCTCTAGAGCACGCACGCATGTGGGCGCAGTCACCACAGGAAGCCTCAGCCCCTGCACCCTCTACATGGAGCCCTGGCAGTCAGGCAGCACTCAGTGGTTGCTGGGGGAGCAGATGTGGAGGTGCCAAATGTGGCGCGGGTAGGGAGTGTGGCTGGCCTCTGGACATCCCCTGTAGAAGCCACATGTTGAGGGAGCCTAGGTCGGTGTGGGCCCTGGCCCAGGGTGGCCTTGGGACACTCCCAGGGCAGCTGTAGCACCCTACAAGTTGTCGTATGAAAACCACTCTAACTTATACGTGCTTTTGGGTGGAATTAAATGAGTTTTATTGTTTCTAGGACAAGATAGGGATTTGATTAGAAACAACATTTATGGAATGCCAGGGCTGGTTCCCATCCACTGTGCCCTGCAGGAACACAGAGTCTTGGGTCCCAGGCATAAACGGCCAGCTGTGTGACTGGGGCAAGACACGCCCCTCTGTATGGCCAGGCCACCTTCTTAAATAAGTAAGAACAGCCTTCAGGTGGGAATGGTTCTTCCCAAGGGCCATTTGCTTTCACAATCTTGTTTACCTTCAGTGGTCAGTTAAGTTTCAAGGGGAAACTGTGACTCAGGCCAGTGGAATTGTCAGATGCAGAAGCAAGGGGTGAGATGGATGCGGGCTTGCTGGGCTTACCGAAACTTGTATGCCTGTAGGCCTCTGGGGGTGCAGTCATTTCCTCCCTCTAGCTGTGGGCTGCGGTGCCTTTGGAATAGGATGCGCATGTCATCGAGGGGTCTAGCAGTGACCTGAGGACTGGCAGGACCTCGATACTGGGGCCCAAAGCGGTTTCCTCTCCTGGGAAATGGGTGCCCAGCCAGTGTCAGAGCCCCAGCTGGGAGTGGCCTTGGTGCAGAAAATGCTGTGTAAATGGCAATTGACAGTGCCAGGTTGTGCCCAATGCAAGCATGGGTGCTGCCTGGTCCACAAAGGAGTATCTGATCTTTGACTGTCTGAAGACCACTGCCTTTCTAGGTTGGAAGCAAGCTCTGATTCAGATGAAAGTGTGGCCATGCAGGGCTGTGTGACCTCAGCTTGCACACCCATGAAGCCAGCCCTGCCCACAACCTTTCCAGATACTGTTGATGCGTGTCATGTCGGGGACTGGAGTCCCTGACAGGTATCAGAGCCCAAGCTGGCCCTGGGGGAGCCCTCAGTGGGGCTGGGGTGGTCAGGCAGGCAGCTGTTTCTTCATATGGGGAAGGCACTGAGTGAACATGGCTTCCAGAGTGTGGTGGGGGCACTGGAAGGGCTCCAACCCTGCTTCCCAGGCAAGGCGACTGAAGCTGAGTCTCAGAGAAGGCAGAGGGCTTTGCCCAGGCATTCTGAGCAGAAGGAACAGTATGTGCTAAAGCCCAGAGGCGAGAGAGTGTCTGGCATGACTGAGGTAAACATGGAGCTCCTTGCAGAGAGTCTGAGAAGTGGGGTGGTTCGTAGGTGGTTGTGGTCATCTCTGAAAGGGCAGTAGGGAGGATGTTTGGAAGGCCGAGTCTAGAAGATGTTCCAGCTGGAGTCGGGTCCTGTAGGCCACGCCTTGTGATGGGGAAGCACAGCTGCACCCTGGAATCAGGCAAGAGAGCCCCTCCAGGGGCCCACAGGGTCTCGAGGCTCCTGGGTGCCGCTGCTCCCCACTCCGCCCCCTCATGCCCTGCCAGCCTGTAAGTCCCAGGACCCTGTGCTTTCACTCCAGCTTTTCCCCAGGCCCCTTCTTGGCCCTCCTCACCCTCCTGGGCTCAGTCCCAGGATCAGCCTCCTGCACAGGGTGGGAATAAATCCTGTAGGCAGCCTCTGCCCTTGACAGTGGAAGTCAGGGCTGCCTAGCAGGGTCTAATTCATTATTTCTCACACTCAGCTGGGGGTTAGGGCGGGTTGCTTGAGATTCTTGTTAAACATTCTTGGTCCACCCCGGGTCCCTGAATTCCAGTCAGCAGGAACCAAGGAATTAACATTTGTGACCATCAAATCATCCAAAGGGACTCCCTTTATTGGCAGTTTGAGGAAACCATGGGCCAGAGGTTGGACTCTGAAGTTAGACAAACCTGGCTCACGTCCTGCCCCTGATTTGTCACATACTGTGCAGCCTGGGTGACTTAACCTCTCTGAGCCTCAGCTTCCTTATCCGCAAAACATGGAAATGTTAATAACAGAGCCTGCTTTGTAGAGTTACTGTGGGAAGGAAAAGAAAATAATGATTTTACATCAGTGTCCAACATATTCATTCAGCGCATAGTCTTGAGCACCTACTATGAGCCAGATGCTAGGCTAGGTCATAGGAGTAGAGGGTGAGTAAGGCAGGTCCCATTTCTGTTCTTACAGTTCACCTTCTACCAGTAGGGGTATGAGTTGGTAAATCACCTTATTTACCTTACAGTGAGGCGATTGAGAATGGGAGGGGTTCTGTAGGCCAAGAGAGCTCTCTTGGAGGTGGAGATATGAATATCTTGAGCAATGAAGGGGTACAGCCATTCAGAGGCCTGGGAGAAGAGTGTGGGAATGCTGGGCACATTCTGCCACCAGGAGGGAAGGGGAGACGCTGTGGGACAGGCAGGAGGTCAGCAGGGCTGGAGGCCAGGGCATGCATCCAGGCTAAGCACAGCAAGTACTGGGGAGCCTGGCCTCCCAACCTCTTCTTGAGGAAGCAGACCCTTCTGGGCAGAGCGGCTCTGCCTGCCCCCTCTCACCCTCTGGCCTGGCACCTCAGGGAGGGCAGACCACACCTGCAGTCTGTGTCGGGCCCCTCACTGCCCTGGCATCACTCTGGGGCTCTGCTGGGACTTTCTTGTTTGTTTTAAAGGAAAGTTGAGTGTTTCCTGAGTGTGCGTAAAGCCAATGTACTACTTAAACTGAGTATTTATAATTCTTTCTTTTAAGAAATAAAACAATAATAAAATACCATAAACCTTGCTTTAATTATTCACAGGTGTCAACTTGTAATCATCATGGGGAAAGGGCCAATGAGATGCCTTATTTAAAAAAGGCACTTGCCTGCTTTTCTTTGAAGTTTTGCTAAAATGCTTCATTATAACATGTTCTTGTTTATAAATAAATTCCAGCCTTTCAAAGTTTGGGTGTTTTTTGTTTTTGTTTTTGTTTTTGTGTGCGTGTTTTAAAAGTATTTAAATGAGATGATTCTAGATGAGGGTGATTGATTCACAGAGTGAGCCAGCCAGAGCTGTCTGTGAGTGACAGCTGTGGCTCCCCTGCCCTCCTGGGGCAGCATAGCTACCTTAGCTTGCTGTCAGCTGTGGTGTTTGTGAAGCTATCCATTGTGGATGTGTAGATTAGGGTGAATCCCGATTTGTGTGCTCGCATTTGCCTACCTGCTGGACTTACTGCCTGGCAGACAGCTCTGCACGTGAGCACATGTGCACATATGGCCTGAGATGGGGCCTTCCCAGGACAGGGGAGAGTTCTCTGAGGGCAGATAGCAAGGGAACCAACCTGGGCTGAAGTCAGGGGAGGCTTCTCAGGTCCGAAGGAGGAGGAAGACTTACTAGGAGAAGATGAGCAAGGTGTGGGTAGAGAGGATTCTGGGCAAATGCAAAGGCCCCATGGTGGGAGAGAGCCTAATGTGTTTGAAAACCTAAAAGGAAGGCATTTGGCATCTGGACTGGAGCCCAGAGACAAATGTGGGGTGAGAGGTGCTGTAGAGGTAAGTGGCACCAGACCATGCAAGGCCAGTTCAAGTTCTGTCTATTCTTATGACGCAGCTGGTTTTGCAGGGTGGGTGATGTAGTGTGTGTGCAATTTATTTGTGTGTTTGAGGGAAAGACAGATGGTTTGGAGAACAGATTTGAGGGGAGCCAGGACCTTTCTGGGGACTAGTGGGGAGGCTGTTGCCATAGTCCAGGCAGATTGAGGTGGCTTGGATCAAGCTGGCAGCAATCCAATGGGCATTAAAGGCATTCAGGAGATGGAATTAACAAGGCTTTGTGATGGACTAGATATAGGGACAGTGAAGGGGAGAGGCATATTACCGATGGACCCCAGATCTCTGGCTTCAGTGACAGGCCAGGTGGAGGAGCCGTTGGTGAGAGAGAATCCAGAACAATCTGGAGGGGAGAGTGAACAGAGCCAGGAGTATGGCTTGGGCTTCACTAAGTTGGGGACGTTTGGGGAACCCACTTGGAAAGGTCTAGGAAGCAAGCTGACATAAGTGTCTGAAGCTCAGAGAAGTTTGGGATAGGACATATATTTATGTGCTGTTGGTGGCTCCAACCTTGGTAGTTGGGGCCTCTGGCTAGAAAAGAAAAGTTAAAAAGCAAGCTTCAGCTGTTTCATCTAAAGTTATAATTCCGATGCTTTAAAGGCTCCCAACCCTCTTCTTGTTCATGGTGGGGGAGCCTTCCTAGTTGTGAAAGGGTCTGAGTGGCTCCAGCTTTGGCATATTAGGGTGCAGGGGAGGGTATTTCTAGGGACACTCTGGGAGAAGCTGCCCAGCCTGCATGGTGCTAGTGCCAGTCTGCAAAATCTCCAGGTAATAGAGAGGGCAGGCCCCTGCCCACCCCCTTGCAGCCTCCAATGCTGCTGCTGTGGCAGCTGCTGCTGCGAAACAAACCAGGGTGACTGGGCGGAAGGTCAGGAGTTTAAGAGCTTGTTTGATTCAAAACTAGGCTAAAAGACAGGAGGGGAGTGAGCTGGTTTTCTGTGTGGATCCTGGTATTTTCCTTTGAGTTGGGGAGGAGAATGGTGGGGCAGGGAGGGAAGGCCGGCCGCCAGAGGGAACGCTGCCAAGCAGAGCGCAGCTAATGTGAACCATACGGCGGCGGCGTTGGGCAGTGGCGGCCATCTCCCGCCCAGCTTAGTACAGCCCTTACTGCGGGCAGGGGTGCAGACAGGCAGGAAGGCAGCTCGGGCTGTGCGGCCACTTAACCCTTCCAGTGCTGAACTACAAGCAGGGCTCCTTCACCTCAGCACATTGATGTTTCAGCCAATAATCCTCTGTCCTGGGCACTGTAGATGTCTAGCAGCATCCCTGGCCTCTACCCACTAGATGCCAATAGCACCCTCTCCCAGCTGTGATGACCACAAGTGTCTGCAGACATTCTAAATGCCTCCTGGGGGGAAATTATCCCTGGCGGAGAACCAGTGGCCTAGAACAGGCGGCCCCCTCAGCTGCTGGGCCTGCCTGGACTCTGATGGGCCTGCACCCTTCAGGGGCCCTGCCCCAGACACACCACATCCATGTTTGGAGTGCTGCCTGGGGCTGAGCATGTGGGGGTCGTTTTCCCATGAAGCAGGCAGCCATAGGGTCAGAGGGGAGACGAGACCTACCCAGAGTTGTATGCCAGTAGGAGCCAGGGTCCAGGATTGGTGTTGCTCCACACATTCCCTGTCCCCCTGCTCCCAGGCATGGCCCCCATTCAGTTTCTGTGGTTTTAAGTGGGAGGTGTGCAGCCTGCCCCTGACTGGCTTCCTGGGGGGACTAATTCCTATGCCAGCCTTCTCTGCCTATTCAACATGCAGTTGCCCAAGGGAACATGGCACGGGTGTTTACCACACTGTTCTTATACCAAGAGTCAGTGCACACGAGCTCAGTGTCCAGCGGTGGGTCTGGTTCTCTAAACCGTGCGATACCACGTGCCCATCGAACACGATGGTGCAGATCTATGTGGAAAGACCACCATTAGAATCATCAGATCCGCGAGGACAGAGACTTTTGTCAGTCATGTTCCTGGGCCCTTAATAAATGTCCTGTGAATAAATAAAATGCTAATTGCAAAACCAAATCTCAATATGTATGATTTGGTCCCATTATGTAGGAAAACTGTCTGCATATGTTTGTATACAAATGCATCAAAAAATCTGGAAGGAGACAGCAAACTGAGAACAGTGGCTGCATCTTGGAGGAGTGAGGGAAAGTGGAATTTAGAGGGCTGAAAGAGAGCTTTCATGTTTCAGTCTATTTAATTGGTGTTTAAATCTTTTACAACGAGCTGGTATTCATCTGTTTCTTGTGTGGCTTTTATGAAAGAAAAAATATAAAGAACTGGAAAAAGAGCAACTTTTGTTCTGTCCTTCCCTGTTCTCTCTCACCTCCCTTGTGCCCTCACTCGGCTTTGGCCTGGAAAGTCCGTTCTCTGCTGGGGAGGCCTCTGTGTAGGGAGCCCAGGGGTCTGGCCTGGCACTGTTCTGCTGAGGGCCACCTCCTTTTCAGAAAGCTGGAATGGGCCCCTCCTCCTGGCCCCTGTGCATGGATGCCACTACTGGGCTTCCCTGTCCTCCCTGAGCCCTCCAGGAGCTCCCTGGCACCAGTTGGCATTTGCCCTCCACATGGCAGTGCCCTCCTTGCCTCTGTACGGTCTTCCCTCTGGGCCCTCAAGCTGGGGCTCGCACAGCAAGCGGCAGCCTCTACTTTATTGGGGAAGCTCTGGGCACCAACCCTCACCCCCTTCTCCTTCACTAGCCGCCCTGCATGATTCCCCTCCCAGCTGTTTCTGCTCATTTCTCTGAAGTTTTCAGCCCTTTTTCTCCTACTCACTGTTTTTTTTCCCCTCCACACTCCCCTCCTCGGAGATGCAGCCTGAGGCTGAGGCCGCATTGTTTGGTGACCTTCCCTGCTGTCCCAGGCTGCCTGCACATTATCATATACAAATACTTTCGTCCCTTTCACAGCAGCTGCCATCTTTGCTGACTCTTTCATTACCCCCTCCGCTTCAGCCTAGGCAAACAGGTCTCTGCAGGTGGTGACAGTGATAATTTCCTGTCCATGGAAAGCCTGCTCTCCCCGCAGCACCATAGCAGGAGCTTCTTCCCTTTAACAGGTGAGGGGAATCCAAGGTCCAGAGAAGTTAAGTCACATATTTTAAATGTGGATCGGACCCTCCTTCTGAGCATACTTCTGTGCCTGTCCTGTGAGCAGCAATGGTTTATAACATCCCTGGAGCTGGCCCCTAATTTGGCTCCTCCATGGCCCAGCTTTCTGCATGCAGCTGCTCTGGGGTCCCTAGGAGTGATTGCAGCCCCTCCAGGGTCACTTCCATTTTAGCTGAGATTTGGGGTCTTGAGAGAGAAGGGGCCTGATGTGGTGTGGCAGCCTCCAGCCCACTTCTAGTAAGAGTATGTTCCAGAAACTTGACTTTGTATGCAGAGGTAGCATGGGTAAGTTGGGGATGGGGTGGATGAGGATGTGAGACATGAAGATACCAGCCTCTTGGAGGTTCTAGAATCCCAAAACGCCAGGCAGTAAGGGGTTTGGGCCTGGCTCCAGGAAGTTCCTGGAGAGTTTCACCAGGATGGGGTTTGGCTGGGTCTCACTGTCTTCCTGGATGGACCAGGGAGGACAGAACCAGCATGCCACCTCTGGGATCCACTCCAGGGCCTGGCTGGTTCAAGCATGTCCTAAGGACAGATAGGGGAGGAACCTCTGAGGCAGGCACTCAGGGGTCCTCCTCTGGGCCCTGTGCGGGGGTTTTGAGCCTTATGGCTGATGGGGGCCTGGCGACTTGCACTCTCCGGTTCTCAGCTGTTTTGTAGTTGACAGTGTGTGGGAAGCTGGGGCGTTCCCCTGAGTTAGTGGTGGTCGTGGGATCTGAGCAGGCAGTTGCAGACCTGATCCTGCTTTGGCTCTGGAGCCTGAATGGATTTCTGACAGGAGAAGCTGAGGCTGTCCAGCCTGCCTTGGGAACTTGGCTGCTTCACCAAGTGGGAGCTCTGAGACTCTCCCACAGGTCCCGTGCTCCCCACGTGCCCTTACAGTTACCTGCCCACCAGGGCCCAGAGGAGGGGCTACCTGGAGCAAGGGTGCCTGGACTGGGCCTCTGTCTTCCCCTGCTGTGAGCAGAGTTCTCACCTCCTGACCCCGACTTGGTCTAACCCTGTGACCCACATGAAATGCCAGCCACTGGTGGTGGGAAGTGGGTGGCTGGTCTCTTCCAAGCCAGGAGTGCATCAGCTCCAGCCTCCTTCCCTGCTGCCGGCCTCGGTTCACAGGGAGCCCTTTGAGGGGCTTTTTGATGTGCACCATGGATGTTTGGCTTGACCAAATTTGTTTGCTTAAGCATTGCTCTTGCCAGTTCATTCGGACCTTCTCTTTCTTTTAAAAATATGCTGCTTGCCAAAGGTTATTTTGGATCTGTTTTTGTTTATCAGGTAGAATTGTTCCAGCGCAATTGAAAGCAGACCCACATGTTGACACGCACTGGAGCTGCTTGCCAGGACACGTGCACATGTGCACACGCGCACATGCAGAATATGTGGCAGGCATCTCATCGTGAGCCCTAGAGTGTACACAGCTTAGGAAGGGGGACTGGGGAAGCTGCCCATTTCACCGGGGACTTGGTATGTGAAGATTTTCATCATCTAGGTGCCAGCACTGACAGACTTCAGGTGGGGAAAATCTAGGGACTGTTACCTCCTGGGAGAGGCAACCTGGTGAGTCTGAGTACCTTGGGGTTAGGCTGGCTCTGCCGCTGGTTGCCTGTCATCCTTCCCTGCTCTGGCCTGGCTTCCTTCTCTGTGACTGATCTCCCGACTTCACAGGCTTTGTGCCAGGCTGTGGCTGACGGCCTTCGGGAAGCAAGCAGGGCTGGCCGGAAGTCAGCCAGAGTGAGGGACTAGAGCGCTGGGCTCCCTACAACTGTGCCTCCCTTTTAAGTGAGTAGCCTTTTCTTGGGAACACGGTTGGGTGCTTCCTGCCAGGAGGCCTGCAGTGGATTTCTTCTGAAAACACAGCTCTTTCTCCCCATCAGGACCTGCTGTGTATAAGCAGGCTGCTCAGAGGAGCCCTTTCAGGCACTGGCTTTGGGCCTTGCTCCCTTGCCCCTTTGGGGCCCTGTGGCACCTGGAAACACACAGAGGGACTAGGCGGTTAAGGCTCGTCCTCTTTCCCATCCCAGGACAGCCCAGCAGAAAGCTTGAGGATACTGATTCAGCTCCAGGTCTCATTGAAGGGAGGACACTGTGTCCAGAGGGGTGGCTATGTTCGTTCGTTTGATTATTATTAGTGATAGTAACCAACTCAGATGAGCATAAGGAAGGAAAGGAAATTTACTTGCTTCCACAAGTGAAAAGTCAGGGTACTTGTGCTCCAAGTATGGTAGTGTGGGGCTTGGAAGCTGTCAGTACTGTCTCCTTCCATGCACTTACTTTGTTCTGTGTGGCTCTACCCTCCAGGCAGCCCACGTCTTGTGGAACCCTAGGCAGCTCCAGACTGGCCTCTGTGCTTCCTTCCAGTTCCTCCTGCCCAGCAATGCTGCACAAGTGCTGAGATCTAGCCTTGTCCTGGGGCCGAATTGGTATAGACACTCAAGCACTGTCTCCCCTAGGAGTCAAGTGTCACCGTTAATGTCCTGTCAGGTGCAAGCCCCAGCTCTGCTGGCTCATAGAGCAGTCCACACCTTGGCAGAACTGGGTGTCCTTGTGGCTGGTGACATTTGTGTGAGGCTGCCCTCACCCCTGGCCTGCAGGAAGAACCCCTGTTTTGTTTCCAGTCTTAGACCAACAAAGGCATCCACACTGGGGAACTGGGGGAAGCTAAATCAGCACCCGCCCAAATGGGAGAGGGAGATCCAACATCTTAACATTATCTTCAGATTTTAAAAATGATACATACTTCTCCTTAAAACTTCAACACTACTAAGAAGGAGGTACATGTACCCTTCCCCATTTGCTGGAGAGCACGGGTGCTGCCATGTATCAGCCTCCCTCCAGCAGTTCCTGTGAGTAACATACACGGCTACACCATGGCATGAGCCTTGGCAGAGTCATACCACCGTGCTGCTGTGGCACCTCCAGCCCTCCACCCCCCACACAACCTGAATGTCTCTCCTCTTTCAATAATGAAGATCCTATAGTCATGAAGCTGACTGTAAAGCCCAAAGTAATTATGTTTTATCTGAGTTTGGGAATCTTTCTAAAACGTATTTCATACTCCCGCCTTTCCTTGAACTACACAATTCTTCCTAGAATACTGCATATAATTCCATCTTTTCTTGACGACTAAAGCTTGTCTTGATGAACCAGTTGATTTTATAGGATTGGAGCTATAGAAATGCATGATCTGTTTGCTTCTCCACTAAATGACTTCATGCAAGCTGGAGGGCCTTGGGGGCCTGCCCAGTGCTGGGGGTTGGGGGTGGGGGATGGGGCTTCTGGCACTGTGCAGGCCACCAAGGCTCCTTCCTCAGTTACTGGAGCCTCAGAGAGGCTAAGATGCAAGCAGAGGGTCGGAGCAGGCTTTTGGGCACTCAGGGTTACCTGATGAGGGGAAAGCCTCTGCCCACTTGCCTTTCCCCTGAGAGACACTAAACAAATGACCAGGGTATGTGCAAAAGCCACAAAGGGAAGGGTACAAAATCCTCTGGGAATGTCCATCATGGACTATAGTCGAGTCATTTGATAGGACCCCATATAGCTGTACAAATTCATGAACTAAGACTGTACATGTCATAGGGGAGGCTCCTGGAGCCGCCACCACCCTGCCACTCCCCCATGTCTACACGGCTGTTCCCATGTCTGCACTGCACTCCTGTGCTTTACCTGAGCTATGTGTGCTTAACCTTAAGCGTTTAACCAGCATGCTTTAACGTTTTTTTTTTTTTAATGCAATATGTAAGGAGAAGCCACTGAAGGATTTTAAGCAGGGGAAGAGGGTAGGGAATAAGGACCCCTGGCCAGGTGGGAGTCTGGTTGGAGGGGTCCAGAGTGGGTGTGGAAAGCTGGCTGGGTCCAGGTGAGGGTTGATGACGGCTTGGTCTAGGGAGGTGTTGGGAGAGTGGGAGAGAACAGGCTGGGCTTAAGAGGTACCTAGGGTGCCTCAAGTCTTCATGATGCCTTGAGCACGGGGCAAGATGAAGAGGTGGGGTCATGGGTACTTCTGGGTTTCTGGCTCACATGATGAGATGGGTGATGGTGCTGTGGATGCAGAAAACCATGTGTGGGGAAGAAGGTGCCTCTGGCGTGGGAGCTATGGTGCTGCAGAGCCTGGGAGGCATGGGGTGGAAAGCCCAGTGCTGTCAGAGCCAGAGTCGAGAGTGTCCCCCTGGGTGCTCACACTGTGGGGCTGGAGAAATCAGCTTGGGAGAAGGCCTTGCTTTTGGAGAACTGTAGCACATAATGGCTGGGCAGCAGGGACAGGCCTGTGAAAGAGATGGCTGGGCCTGAGAGGTAGAGGGGAGTGAGGAGGGCCAGGGCTGGAGCACTGCCGTGTCCCCTCCTCCTCACCACCTGTAGCATGTCCACTTCCTCTGTCCAGCCTGCAGGATCCTCTGTGTTTGGGTCTACCCTCTTGTGCTTCCCTACTGATCCCCAATCTGTAGTTGTTTTCAAAAATTTAGCCATGGTTTCCTCCCTCGCACAGCCATCATGGACACCAACCCAGCTCCCCTCGCCCACGCTCCCTTAGCCCATTCCTGTCCAGCGTCAGGCCAGTCCCACGTTCCTGGAGCCGCCAGCACCCTGCCACTCCCTGCCCCTTCACAGCCATCCCCATGTCTACGCTGCATTCTTGTGCTTTACCTGTGCTGTGTGTGCTTCACCTTAGGCGTTTAACCATCATTCTTTAAAACATTTTCAAATTTATGTGAAAAGAGAACTTGATAATATCTGTGAACTCATGAGTTTGCTCTGCTAGTTATATTTTTTCTATCTGGAATTTGATATAAGTACATCTCCCACATGGGTTTGTAGTCATGCATGTGTGTACAGCATTGTTTGCTCTGTCTTGTAGATAAATGGTGACGCTCTGTGTGTACCCTATGCCAAGCTTGCTCTTCGCATTCAGCACTATGATTTTCAGGTTTCTCTTTGCTGATATGTACAGTCTCAGTTCATGAATTTTTACTGCTGTATGGGGTCCTATTACATGACTTGACTATAGTTCATGAGGGACATTCCCAGAGCATTTTGCACCCTTCCCTTTGTGGCTCTGGCACACATACTGGTCATCTATTCAGTGTCTGTCTCCACTACCCCTCCCTCACTGGAGTCTCCTTGCACACAGAGCTTGATCCAGGCGGGAAGCAGGAGGGAGTTAAACTCTACCTCCTTGAGAAAGGAGTATCTATGTAATTATTTGGAATTCTTCCTTACAGGAGACTTGTCTCTTCTCCCAGTTTATTAACTCAGTTATGTATTTTTATCAGGCTAGACTTTGGATATGTATTTTATACTTTGGGTTATAATCCAATGCTACATTATTTTGCTGCTCAAATGGTTCCAGCCTTGACCATGGAGCTCTATGAGGCCAGCTCCTGTGTCCTCTTGACATGGCCCATCCTTTTGTTTTCTGAGCACTTTCTGGCACTATAAGGTGTTCCAGGCTCATCCTGTTTCCTGCCCCAGACCTGGAATCAGCTACTTCTCCAAGGAGCCTGACACCTTCTATAGGAGAATGGTATTAGAGACAGGGTGTGTGCTCCTTGCTGCTGGGGCATCATTGCTTCTAGGTCCTTTTAGCAGATAGAGCTAGGAAAGAAATGTATATATAGCAACCCATATGTGCATATCTACCATTATAGATACAGAGGCATCTACCTATCTGCATTTACATCAAGCTGAACATGAGCTCATGCTCTGTCTCTGACTCTAATCAAGTACACATGGCTCATTCTAGGCTTGCCTCCTTGCTTGTCTGTGACCTCCCTCCAACAGTATGATGTTTGGCTCCTGTCACCAGCATTCACTCACTTATTTGTTCCATCACAGTTCACCCTTACCACTGACACAAGATTGTGAAGCCTGTGAACAAGGGTGGTTTTTTACTGTGGTTGTCCACAGGTCCCTGAGCCCCTGATCTATGGAAGCAAGAATGTTGGTGTTCAGACAGATTATTTGGAAGAGTGAACCCTGAGGGCCAATTTGGCAAATAAAGTGGTGAAATGTCCCCCTTTGTCTTGAAGCGTGAAGCCCTTCCTGCTGTCAGGCTGAGGTGGAGATGAGCTCAGAGAGAACTCACAGTGATGCAGCTCCAAGGGGGCAGGCGGGCTTGTGCAGCCATGGGGGGAGGAAGGAATGAGATCAAGAATGGAATCTGGGGGCCCTGGGAAGTGGAGTCCCAGCATGACAAACTGTACTAAATGGGAGAGAGTGAGGAGGCTGGGGAGGGGATGGAAATCATTTAACAGCTACACTTTTCTTCCTACTAGCCTTGGCTTCCTTAAGGCCTCAACATGCACTGGATTCTAAATATGCAAAGCAAGGCTAGCTGTAGACAAAAGGAGGAAAGAATGAGGTGGTGATGTGATGAGCTGTAGTTTGAGAAAACCCCAGAGACTGAGTCTCCTGGAGTTAGACTGGGAGACTTGCTCTTTGGGAAAGCCCATAGGCCAGAGACATCAAAGTGCCGGTAAGAATAGGGTTCCCCTTGGGTTACCATCAGTTGGGGATGCAATAACTACAGCATTTATCTTTAACTTAAATTTTTAATTGTTAAAAAAATAGGTAATGGATTCTCAAGATAGGGGAAAAAAAATTCAAACTATGTAAAAGATGTATAGTTCCTACCCTATTACCATTTCTGGTTTCTTTCTAGAAATAGTCTATGTGCATTCAAGCATATTCATGTATATCGTTATCTCCTTTTTTCCTGTATATTAATGATAACATAGTATACACATTGTTTTGTACCTTGTTTCCCCCCGCCCCCCCCAAAAAACTCTGTCTTTGAAGATACTCTGGTATGAGAACAGATAGACCTGCCTTTCTTTCTTTTTCACTGCTGCATTAGTGATAATACAGGTACGCCATCATTCATTTGTACTGGTCTTCCAGTGACGAACACTTCTGCTGCATCTAGTCTCTTGCTTGACTTCTGTATTTCTTCTTTTAAAGTGTAAATGTTTGGCACAGGTGCTTTTTTCAGTTATTTCAAGTAAGCGATTTTGGTTTTCACAGGATCCCTAGGAGATGGCTTTGGCAGACAAAACTCGGCTCTGAGGGATGATGTGTTTTGGTCAAGGTCATAGAGTTGACAAATGGGAACTTGAGTTTAGGTCTCCTTACTCCACTTCCAGTGTCCTTTTCACTGTATTCTAGACCAGAAGAATAAAGAATATATAAATCCACATATAAGTCGTATGTGCCACAGCAAAAGCCTGAGTTCCTGCCTTTCTTTACCAGTGATCTGCAAATCAGGGTCTGTTGAGTGGGGTTTTCCTTGTTGTGACTTGTCTCTGGGACCCCAAGATAGGGCCAGGCCCAGAGCAGGAGTCAGGAATCCCTTGTTGAACAAATGTGCACCCTGGGCCCTGAGATTTGGGGCTCACTGTGGCCATTGACTTCAGGGAGTTCTCCTAGGATACAGCAAGCTGCCAGTACATTGGTTGGAGTAGAGGACCTATACTTTATACTTTGCAGGTGAACATGTTGACTTAACCATCAGAAGTCTCCAGATGGAAATGTCTTGCCCCATCACTGTAGTTTAAGTGGTATTCCTTTAAGAAGAATAACTTGGATGCCAGAACCAAAGGCCTGTGCTATTGGACTGGGCCAGTGAAGACAGCACAGGCATTTTCCAGTTTCAGTGAAGTTATTTTTGGTCAAGGCATTTCCTATTTGAAAACATTTGCAGCTCCTCATGGGTCCGTTGGTGCCTGGAGGTATAGGGCTTTTCAGAGGTTATTGTGATTGTCCTTGAAATGGTGGCCTTTGCAGTTGGAGTAATGTTCTGCAGAAGTTAGAGTATCGCTATCTCTGATCAGAGTCTGGCACTGCTAAGGAGCTACAGGGATATGTACCAGCTTCCTCGCCCAGCATAGGGAACACGCTTTTCAATTCATGTCTGCACATTTTCCCACCTGAGGCAGCTGTGCCTTAGCCAGTTGGGCCCCTCTGAGAAATACTGCTAATACAGAGCGACACCACCACTCAGCTCTGTGGAACTTCTCCCCAGTGGCCTAAATGCTGATTCCTGGGACAGTTCCAAATATAGGTTCCCCACTCCCGCTTTATAGGAACCAGTTTACCAAGACCTGGAGGCCACCACTATGTCTCATGCCTTTCTTTCTGCATCCTGCACATTCTCAGTACCTTCCAGACTCTTGCCAAGATGCAGGCTCTAGAGCCATATCACAAATTCAGGTGCCTTTTAGGGCCTGGCAGGAGGCAGATGGAGGGAAGCAGCACATGGGAAGAACTGTACTTCTTTACACTGTGTGAGTAGACCTGGGCACACTGAAGACCCACCACTCATCTCAACTGTGCATGGGAATGCAAAACTGGAATACCTAGATTTTGTCATTTTTAAGGAGAAGCTGGAAATCTGGATTTTCAAGTGAAATGTCCCATTTTAAAATATAGGCTTGAGTTTTTTTGTCACACAGTATGGGTCAAACAAAACATGTCTGCAGCCTGGATCCTGCCTTTGTGCTACCTTTGGGACCTTTGCTCACTTCTCTGCACCGCCCTTCCAGCCATCTTTCTGCAGAGGCTTGCTGTCATGTTTGAGGGTTTTCCTTTAGGCAGAGTGGCAGACATCTGTCTCATTGCTGTGGGGGCCACCAATATGGTAGAATGGAAATATGTTGCTCACCTTTTAATGTGTGGATTGGCCATCCCATAATCTTCTTTTGTGAAATGACTGCTAAATTCTTTTACACATTTTTATATTAGGTTGTTTGTCTTATTGTTGATTTGTAAGAGTTCTTATATATTTAGGGCACATGTCCTTTGTCAGATAACACATACTTAGATGATTTCTCCCGGTCTATAAATTGCCTTTTCATTTTGTTAATGGTGTCTTTTGAAGGCTTTTAATTTTGGTGAACTTCAATTTATTATTTTTTCTTTTATGGCTTATGCCTTTTGTGTCCTCTCTAGGAGATCTTTGCCTTTGCCTATCCCAGAATTGTGAAGATAGTCTCTAATGTTTTCTTCTGGAAGCTTTAAAGTTTTAGCTTTTATGTTTAGGTCTGTGTTCAATTCCAAATTAATTTTTTTGTATGGTGTGAAGAAAGGATTGAAGGTTTTTTTTTTCCTCATATATGTATGCATTGTTTCAGCACTACTTATTGAAAAAAATTTGTCTTTCCCCTTTGAATTGCCTTGGCATCTCTTAAAAAAAATCAAGTGACTGAATATGTGTGGGTCTACTTCTGTGCCAGTGCTCTGTTTACGTTTATTGTCTTCTCATGCTATCTTGATTGCTGTAGTTTTATAATTTTGAAATGAGGTAATATGAATCTTTCAACTTTGTTCTTTTGTTTCAGCTCTTCTAGGTCCTTTGCATCTATATAGATTTCCAAGTCAACTTTTTTTTTTTTTTAAGTATTGGAATTTGGTTGGCATTGCATGGAATCTGTAGATCACAACTGGGAACAATTGATATCAGTATTGAGTATTTCAATCCATGAACATGGTATATCTTCCTATTGATATAGGTCTTTAGTTTTTCTCAGTAATGTTTTATCGTTTTTTGGGGTTGTTTTGTTTGTTTGTTTGTTTTTTGACAGAGTTGCACTCTGTTGCCCAGGCTGGAGTGCAATGGTGCAACCTCGGCTCACTGCAACCTGTACCTCCCAGGTTTAAGCAATTCTCTTGCCTCAGCCTCCCAAGAAGCGGGATTACAGGTGCCCACCACCATACCTGGCTTTTTTTTATTTTTATTTTTAGTAGAGATGGGGTTTCGCCATATTGGCCATGGCTGGTCTCGAACTCCCGACCTCAAGTGATCCACCCACCTCAGCCTCCCAAAGTGCTGGGATTACAGGCATGAACCACCGTGCCCGGCCTGTTTTATAATTTTAAGTGCAGTTTTATACTTCTTTTATAAACCTATTTCTAGGTATTTCTAAGTATTTTTTTTTTACTTTTTTGAGACAGGCTTGCTCTGTCATCCAGGCTATATATTTTATTATTTGACACTGTTGAAAATATTTTTTATTTTCCAATTATTTACTGCTAGTATATAGAAATACAATTGATTTATATATTTTGAGCACATGTTGCTGTCTATGGTTTGAATGTTTGTCCCTTTCAAAACTCATGTTTAAATTTAGTTGCCATTGTAACAATATTAAGAGGTACAACCTTTAAGAGATGTTTAGGTCTTGAGGGCTCCACCCTCATGAATAGACTAATACTGTTATCCCTTTCTTGCTCTTTCTCTCACCTTTTCTTTGCCCTTATGCCACTTGAAGCCTTCTGCTAGGTTCTGACACAGCAAGAAGGCCCTTGCAAGATGCCAGCACCTTGATATTGGAATTCTCAGCCTCCAGAGTTGTGAGGCAATAAATTTCTGCTCATTATAAATTACCCAGTCTCAAGTATTCTGTTATAGCAGCACAAAGTGGACTTAAGACATATATGCTGCAAAATCTTTTCCTGCTAAATTGCTCACTAGATCCTTGCTAAAATTTCTCACTAGATTTAGTAGTTATTTTGTGAATTTCTGAGTACTTTCTTTGCAAACAGTTATGATATCTGGAAATAATTCCTTTCTACACTTTTTGCCTTTTTTCCCCCTAGCTTTAATTCACTTGCCAGGAAGTACAGTACAATGTTCAACATAAGTGGTGAGAACAGATATCTTTACCTTGTTGCTGATGTTAGGGGCAAAATGTTTATACTATTTCACTATTAAATATGTTAGCTGTGGATTTTTTGTGCATATCGTTTATCAGATTCAAGAAGTTCCTTTCTGTTTCTGATTTGCTGAAAGCTTTTATCATAAATGGGTGTTGAATTTTTTTGAAATGCTTGTTCTGCTTCTATTAAATTATTATATAGTTTTTCTCCTTTATTCTGTTAATTAAGTTACACTTATTGCTAAGTAGGTTACATATATTGTTAAGTAAGTTACATATATTGATTTTTGAATGTCAGACCCACTTTACATTCCTAGGGTTAATCCTATTTTGTTATGAAATATTATTCTTTTTATATATTGCTGGATTTTGATTTTACATTTTAGCATTTTTTAATTCATTTTGAATTTATGAGGTATATTGCTCTTAATTGTCCTTTCTTATAATGTCTATGTCATGTTTTAATATCAACATTATTCTGGCCTCATAAAAAGAGAAGAAGTTTTTGCTCTTTTTTTATTATCTGAAATAATATGTTTAAAGTTGGTATCACTTCTTGCTTTAAAGTTTGGAATAATTCGCCAATGAAGCTATGAGGGCATATAGTTTTCTTTAAGAGGAGTCTTTTAATTATGTATTTAAATATATATATGATGTATATTATATATGATTCAGATTTTTATTCTTGTGTGTGTTTTGTTGTGTTTCTATAAGGAATTAGCCTATTTTTGTCTATTTATTGGCATAAAGTTAATTGTAATATACTCTTATTATCTTTTAATGTTTTTTGAATCTGTAGTGATATCTTCATTTTATTTCTAATATTTTTAATTTGTAATTTCTCTCTTTATTTTGATCAGTCTTGCTAGATGTTTGTTTATTTTATTAATCTTTCCAAATAACCAGCTTTTGGCTTTGTTGATTTTTTTTCTTTTGTTTCTTGTTTTCTATTCCATTGATTTCTCCTCTTTATTATTTCCTTTTTTCTACTTTCTTTGGGTTTACTCTGCTGATCTTTAGCTTCTAAGATGAAAGCTGAGATCCTTAATTATCAACCTTCTTTTCTAATATAATATTTAGAACTATAAATTTTCCTATAAGTACTGCTTTAGCTTTATTTCAATGATGTGCCATTTTTTAATCATTTGGTTAAAAGTATTTCAAAAATTTTTACAGAATTTCTCCTTTGACCCATGGGTTATTTATAAGTGTTCTTCTTACTTTGCAAATGTTTGAGGATTTTCCAGTTAACTTGTTGTTAATTTATACTCTTATTCCACTGTGGTCAGAGAATACACATTTCATGTTTTCTGTCCTCTGAAGTTTGTTGATAATTATTTTATGGTCTAGCCTATGGATTTTGGCAAAAATACAGACCTATATGATGACTCTGAAAATGTGTATAGGCAGATGATAGCAGGTGTTGGCCTAGGTGAAGGCAGTTGTGGATGCATAGAGAATCAGTTCAGAGTAGAAAAGCTTCCTATAAGGACATCCTCTCCTTCTTTTGCTAATTTTCTGTCTGTCTCTCCTAGTAGATATTTATATTTGCTAATGCCTTTAAAAACTTCCCTTGGGAGGCCAAGGCGGGTAGATCACAAGTTCAGGAGATCGAGACCATCCTCGCTAACACAGTGAAACCCCATCTCTACTAAAAATACAAAAAATTAGCCAGGCGTGGTGGCATGTGCCTGTAGTCCCAGCTACTCGGGAGGCTGAGGCAGGAGAATCACTTGAACCCAGGAGGCGGAGGATGCAGTGAGCTGAGATCACGCCACTGCACTCCAGCCTGGGCGACAAAGCAAGACTCTATCTCAAAAAAAAAAAAAAAAAAAAAAAAAAACTTCCCTTATAGGATCACATTAATAACCCGAGCCACAGAGTCAGAAAGTGCTGCCTTAGAATGCCCTTTGTCACTTTCTGGCTTGTGACCTTGGGTGAATGACTTCACCTTTCTGAGCCTTAGTTAATTTTTCTAAAAGGGTAATGGGAGTATCTTCCCTGTGGAGTTGTTGGGAGAATTAAATGAAATTTTACAAAATGCCTTTCACAGTTCTTGGCTTTGTAAATGGTAAATATTTTTAGTGGTAGCAGTACTCAAAGAAGTTAGGGAAGCTCACACACAAAGGTGGCTGCTTCTCCCCTTTGGACGGTAGTCAGAGGCACTTGTTCTATTCTTGGTGAGAAGTCTGCTCCCTACCTTCTGCTGTGCCCTTGGCCCCTCAGAGATCCAGAGGAGAGAGCCAGCTCAGAGCCAGCACTTCTGTAGACTGGCATGCTGGTGCTCTTGCAGGGGTATTGTGGTTGGGAGCCATTAGGGGTCCTCACTGGGGTGCCTTAGACCAGATACCTGGTGAGGCCCAGATATCCCTCCTTCCCATAGGGTCCCCTAGGGCTAGGGTGGAGGACTATCTGTCCTTCCTAGCCCTGAAGATTGCCAGGAATAGAGTTTGCTGACCCTGTTAGGGGCTGACAGTTGAAGTACATACAGGAAGACCTGCCTCTTCCTGAAAGTTTGTTCTGGGAAGGGGAATTTAGAGGGGAAAAGTGAATTAAGTTCTATCATATCTGAGTGTTCTTAAAATGTCAGCTATTGAGCCTCTAGAAATGACACATAAATTCTCTGCTAGGCACAACAGGTAAAGGAGAGTTTCAGAAGTTGTGCCAAGTGCCCCCTCTGGACTGAGCAGCAGGGCCCCAGACCTAAGTCAGACACTGGCTCCACCATCAGAACTCATGACCTTGTGGGACAGAGAGAGCCAAGGAAGTAGAGCACCTGTACACTGGGGGCACTTGAGATAGGGAGGGACCCCAAGGGAGGGTCTGGTTGGCTTTCTTGGAGACATGGAGGGCTCTGAGAAGAAAGAAATAGGTTTACTAAGTGGAAAAGGTAAGGGGAGGGTATTCCCATCAGAGGAAACAGCATATGCAAGGATTGGAAGATGCCATTCCAGACAGTTGGAATGGCAGACTGTTCTGATATTTGACATTTTTGTTCGAATTAGAATTGTCATGAAACAAAAACAGAAACACATCATACCTCCAATGTGTGTTGCTGCCATTTTGATGAACTATCAATCTCTTGCATGTACCTCCAGGCCTCTGCTGTGCCTGTCAGGGAGGGCTGTCCCCATGATGCCTGGGAAAATGGCTATGTCTCTGCCAGCCACAGACCAGCATGGGACATTTCGCTGGCTGCACCATGTGTGGTGTTTGTCCGTTGCTGGAATGTGCTCAGTTGAGGGGAATTGTTTCATTTGGTCATCCAGGCTCAGGTGAAACAAAAAGAGGCCAATGCAAAAAGCTGCAGCTGATTCCAGGCACCCCCAAAATGTTTTCTACTCAACACTGGCAGCAGTGCGATGTCCCCTCAGCCCTGCCTTTGGTGGTGTCCAACTACAGGAGCTGGATGGCCCTCTGGCTGCCTCTTGGGGCCTGGGAAGCAAAGGAAGCAAGTTCAAATCTGTCACCTGTTTGTAGTTTTCATAATTTTTGATTTGGCATTTTGATCAGTCTGTTTTTGGTCAAGGAAATGCATCCGTATCTCATAACAGGAAACCCCTTTTGTGATCTTTACTTCAAGGCATTTTTCTGTACTTCCCCCTACTTTTTTTTTTTTTTTTTTTTTTTGCTGGCAAATATACAGACCTAGTATGATATGTGTGTCTTATTAAAAGTTCAACATAATTCATTGCCATTGGTTTGTTTACAAAATAAACAATTCCAGGGCCTTCCAACAATTGAGGCTCCTTTTTTTTTTTTTTTTTTAAATCTTCCTTGGGGCTGGAACTGTGGTGAGAAGATGGAGAAGGACCCAAGTTTGGGAGAAGTCACGTGGTTCCATGCCTGCTTCCTGCCAGAGTCCCAAGCAGGTGACCCAGCAGTCAGCTGGGGAGGCAGACACCCCAGCATGGCCTGGACCCTGCTCTCCTCATTTATGTGAGGGTCTCAGTGGGGTGGTGGGAACCCAGGAAATTCTTGAACCTTCCTCAGCCCATTCATCCTCCTGCCCAGAGTCCCCATGGGAAGTATGTGCATAGGCACTAGCAGAAAAGCAAAAAAGGAATGCTTTCCAGCGTGATGTGGTGGGTTTGGTCCCCAGCCCCAGCCTCAGCTCTTGTGACTGAGTGACCTATAGGGCAGCTTTAACCTTTCCCCTGAGAAAGCACATGTTACCATGGTCCAGAAATCACCCGCTCATCCCAGAAGAGATGGAAGGATAGAGAGTGAGAGATTATCCAGGCCCTGGTACTGGGAGCTGAGCTTGCCTGGCTGCCTTTGGTGGGAGAGGGCCCTGGCAGAGCATGAGATTTCATCATCCTGAGCCCACACTAGGATGTCCCGATGTTGGAATACCCTAAAAGCTCTTCTCTTGGAAAACGTAATCCACGTAGGATCTTGAAATATGACCAGCAGGATGGGGCTTCCTGTCCCTGGTATGCAGAAAGGGTGAGTGGAGGCAGGAGGAAGGATGGTGTCTGAGCTGGCCACCCCATGTAGCTAACACAGTCCAATGCCACTCTGTCCTCATCCTGGCCACCCATAAGCCTTTCTTGTCTCCTCTTTCCCTTCCTACCAAGTCCAGCATTTGCAAGCCATCCTGATGCTGGCCCTTGCTTTTCTCTGTAGCCTCAGCTTTTCTCATTCTTCTACTGATAAAGCAAACTGTAGTTCTCCTGTTTTCTCAGCATACTCACCTTCATGGCCATGCACAGACCTGCAGGGCCTGTGTCTCCTCGTCATCCGCACAGGGGTATATCCATGTGGGCACCTCAGGAGGCAGCTCGAAGGTTACCTCCTCACTGACCTTCCTGCCCTCCACGCTACACACATATGCCCCTCCGTCTGTCTCTCTGGCATGTGACTACCACTGTGACCTTGCTGCAGTTATCCATTGGCCTTTGTGCCCCTGAGATGGCCTGAAAGACACGATTTGGATTTGTCCCAGTTGGCATAGGTGTGGCTTACAGTCAGTACTCTGCGTGTGTTGGCCAGAAGGCCCCCAGTGGCAGTCAGGTGGTTGTGATCTTGGAGTGGGGTAGAGGAATTGTAGCCAATGCTATTCCAATGCTAGCCAATACCAAAGCTGCACCTCATGCTCTACATCACACAGGGAGGGACCTCTGGAGTCCCAGAGGTTTGGCAAAGCTCCCTGCAGTCTTTCTGTTAAGAGTAAATAAAGAAGCATGATATCTGAGGTGGTGAGTACCCACTGATGAGTTAGTAGCATAGAGCTGGCCTCCGTCCTCTTGGGAGACCATAGGCACATACCAGGGATGAACAGCATGTAAGAATCAGGGGTGCCAACTTGGGCCTGAGAGGGAGGGGTGGTCAGGGAGATGTGTACAGGGAACACCAACTGAAGGCCCCGGTCCCCCAAGGGAGGACAGCTTGTGAGGGCTCACCGAAGGAACACAGGAGAAGTCTAGCCGAGGATTTATGCTTACCCTTCTCTTGATTACCATCAAGTGTGATGATAACTTTCGGAGAACTGGCTCTACCAGTGCCCCTTTCTTTATTTGTGGATTGAGCCCCTGAACCTCACTGCTGTAGTTTCCTTTGTGGAAGGAGAGATTAAAGAACCTTCCAAACTTCCTGTGGGTCAAGATGCCATCAGGAGGAAAGGAGCTGGTGTGGGAAAGCCCAGCCCAATCCCAGCTATGAGAGCAGTGTCTGGTTGTGGAACTCTGGCACACACCCTTCTGTGGACCCCACGGTCATGCTGAGTTCTGCATTACTCCACATGTCCCAGAGCTTCCTGCCTCATTCTCATGTCTCGGATAGCCTCATGGGAGGGCTCCAGCAGAGCTTTGAGTCTTGTGCAGCCTGCCCTTGATTCTGGGCTCCAGTTGCATGCCTTGTTCCCACTGGCTCTCCCATGCTAAAAATTAGATATTTTTTGAAAAATTGAAAATATCAACATGTTGTTATAAAATTAGGCACTTTTTTGCCTAAGCTACTCTCACCACACTCCTAAATCTTAGGTTCAAACTAGGTAGTTGTCTCAATTTTGCTGAAATAGTCCATTGGCTCCTGGCCAATCCTGCTGACTTCTCCAAGTACTTCCTGGATGCCTCTGGGGCACACATTGCTGCAGTCCAGGAGCTGAAGCCAGTCAGTAGGCCCTGGGACAGCCAAGGAGGGTGCATCACATGTGCCCTCAGGCAGGGAGTGGGAATCCTCCCAGTTTACAGCAATATTTTGCCAGATAAGCTGACACAGGCTTCAAGAAATCACCTTTTCCCCTTGGAACAAATGGGGGCATATGCCTGGATCATCTTCTCTTACTCCCTTGTGCCAGTCTATGACACCACTGTTTTTTGTTTTTTGCTTTTCTGAGACAGGGTCTCTGTCACTCATGCTGGAATACAGTGGCGCCATCAGCCTCAACCTCCCCAGCTCAAGCGATCTTCCTACCTCAGCCTCCTGAGTAGGTGGAACCACAGGCATGCACCACCATGCCCAGCTGATTTTAAAGTTTTTTATAGAGATGGGGTCTGCATGTGTTGCCCAGGCTGGTCTCAAACTCTTGGGCTCAAGCAATCCTTCTGCCTCAGCCTCCCAAAGTGCTAGGATTACAGGCATGAGCCACCACACCTGGCCATTTTTTAAAATAGATACATAATAGTTGTACATATTTGGGGGCACATATGATATTTTGATACATTCATGCAGTGTGTAATGATCAAATTAAGGTAATTGGGGTATCTATCACCTCAAACATTTGTCTTTTCTTTATATTAGGAGCATTCCAGTTCTTCTAGCTACTTTGAACTATACAATACATTATTGTTAACTATATAGTCAGCCTACTGTACGTTAGAACACTAGATCTTATTCCTTCTGTCTAACTCTGTAACAATTAACCAACCTCTCTTTATCCCATCCCCCTGCCCACCAGCCTTTGGTAACCACCAATCCACTCTCTACCTCCATGAGACCCACTTCCCCACATTTGAGTGAGAACATATGGTATTTGTCTTCTGGTGCTTGGCTAATTTCACTTAACATAATGGCCTCTAGTTCCATCCATGATGCTGCAGATGACAAGATTTCATTCTTTTTTATGGCTGAATAGTATTCCATTGAGTACATATAGCACATTTTCTTTATTCATTTATCTCTCAGTGGGTACTTAGGTTGATTCCATATCTTGGCTGTTGTGAATAGTGCTGCAGTAAACATGGAAGTGCAGATATCTGTTTGATATACTGATTTCCTTTCTTTTGGGTATATACCCAGCAGTGGGATTGCTGGGTCATATAGTACTTCTATTTTTACTTTTTTGAGGAACCTCCATACTGTTTTCCATAGGAGCCGTATCAATCTAAATTCCCACCAACAGTGTACTAGCATTCCCCTTTCTCCACATCCTCACCAGTATCCATTACTTTTTGTCTTTTTGATTAAAGCCATTTTAACTAGGGTGAGGTGGTAACTCATTGTCGTTTGGATTTGCATTTCCCTGATGATTCGTAAAGTTGAGCATTTTTTCATATACCTGATGGCCATTTGTGTGCTTCCTTTAGAGAAATTTATTCAGGTCTTTTGCCCATTATTCATCAGATTATTTATGTGTTTTTGTTTGTTTGTTTGTTTTTTGCTATTAAGTTGAGTTCCTTATACAGTCTGGTTATTAATCCCTTGTCAGATGGATAGCCTGCAAATATTTTCTAGTCACCACTGTTTTCTGGCTTGTAGCATGTGCTCAGGAACTACTTGTTGAGTGCTCTGTGAAGACAAAAATATTTTGATGTCCATGACCACCTGACACATGGGGAAGGCCTGGAGGAAGGCATGGGAAACCCAGAGCACAGACCTGGGTTCAGGTCCAGGCCAACAGCTGACTCCCTTGTGTGTTCTTGGTCCTGTTCAGCTCTATGAGCTTTACTTCCCTCAGCCCTAACATGAGGATTATAAGTAATACCTGCTCCTCAGAGATGACCACGTATTTCATAAACCTTAGCCTTCTTCTTCGTTGCTTTCATAGAGTTACTGTGAGGATTAAATCAGAAAAGGCAAAAATGTCAGGAGCACCTCGTGCACTCTTGAGGTGTGATCCAAGTCCTGGGGTGGTTCCTGTGTGTCCTGATTGTGGCCCTGACTTTGGCTCTGCCCCTTTCCCAGCATGTAAGCCCTGTGGCTTTCTTTGGTTTGGGGTCTGGGCCTGGGCAGGGGTTTTCTTCCCCAGGTGATGTTCACTGGTGGTAGTCAGCTCCCCGGCAGAGCAGACCCCCAGCTTGGAAAAGGAGCATGTGTTCTTCCCAAGTCTGGGTGTGCTAGAACTGGCCTAGAGATTCTGGAACAGCTGTTCTGGCCACCTCCCCAGCTGCCTTTCTCTTTGTCCCAGAATTTCCCCCATCTTAACTTCTTTCTTTCATCTCCCATTCTTGACTCCAGCACTGTAAGCAGGAATCTGGCCTTTTATCTCATTCTTGGATCTTGATAGGCTGGAATGATGGTAAAAAGCCAATGCGGGCCAGGCGAGGTGGCTCACGCCTGTAATCGCAGCACTTAGGGAGGCTGAGGTGGGTGGATCACGAGGTCAAGAGATCGAGGCCAACATGGTGAAACCCTGTCTCTACTAAAAATACAAAAATTAGCTAGGCGTGGTGGCACGCACCTGTAGTCCCAGCTACTCAGGAGGCTGAGGCAGGAGAATCACTCCAGCTTGGTGACAGAGCAAGACTCTGTCTGAAAAAAAAAAAAAAAAAAAAAGGCCAGTGTGATGAAATATACTATTAATATATTATTAATGGCAATCATGTTAGTTTTCTATTTTTATTTCTGTTCCCATGGCTTCTACAATAAATTACCACTAAGTTTTTGGTACCACTAATTTAGTAGCTTAAAACAACACATACATATGTATAGACTATGTGCATTGAAGAAATAATCCTAATGCAATATGAAAAATAAAACTTTCATACCTTTCAGTACCTTTTTCCCAGAAGTTTGACAATTTGAAAATTTACTCTTCCAGATAATTCCTGTGCATGTATAAGCATAAATAGATACTTAGTGTTTTTTAAACAAGTAGGACTATACTGTGCTTATTGTTCTATGCTTGGGTATTTTTTTTTGCATGTTTCTTGCATATGCCTAAATTATTTTATCTTATTGTCTATTTAAGCTGATTTCAGGTTTTTGTACTTGATCATTATAGTTAAATAGGGATAAATGTAAAATTCTTTATCCTCAAACAAGCTCCATCGATGGAGAAGAACCTATCAGCACAAGTGGTAATGTGGTTATTTGCACTCTCCAGCTCCAGGCTAGAGCATGTGATATGTGCAATGTTCCGTCCTGGGGGGGTCATGCTTTAAAGGGGTCTTTGCTGAGTTGAAGCAGCCAGTGAAGCCGTGGAGACTTGCCAGTGGTGGTGAAAGGTTACATAACTGGGAGGCCCCGCAGCTGCACCCATGCAGCTCCTCCGGTGTGCACGCTTGTTCCAGCTCTTCCTTTTACCTGGGCAGCTCCTACCCATATGTAAAAAGGCTTGGTGTACATCTCACTTCCCCTGTGAAGCCTGATCATGCCTAGGCTGTGAACCTCTCCTGGGCCTGGGGCTCTGCACATGGGCGGGACACAGGGTGGGCTGCAGAACTGAAATGTGGTGAACCGGTCAGGGACTTTACTGGTGCAAGTCACAGAAAGTCTAACTGGCCCTCAGTAAGTGGTTCCCAGGAGGCCATCAGGATGTCAAGGGGAGGCAGGTGTTGGACTCCAGGCCTGCTAAACGTACTCTCAGAGACTCAGAACTGTTCACCCCCTACCTGTCCAGTGTCCTCCTTAGGCACCTCTTCCTTCTGTCCTTTTCCCTAGTGGCAACTTTGTTTCTCTCCTGGAGCTGTGGAGTTACTCTTGACAGACTGGAGGGGAGAAGTCCTGAGGGGTGAGCCTGGGAATGGGGCAGGAGGAAAGAGACTGGTGTGCAGAAGGGACTTACACATGTCGCAACATTTAATGAGGAGGGGTAGAGCAGCAGTTCCTGGGAGAAAGAACTCCCATGGGGGGCAGGAAATGAGGCTCAGTGGAAGACCCCACTGGGAAGCTGGCAGGCAGACCAGTGTGGTCAGGCCATGCAGAAGGGACCTGGGGGGCTACTCAAAGTTACCTAATGGAGTGAAGATGAATTTTTCTCATTGAAGTGGAAAAACTGCTGATTTTTATCAGGGCAAGTTGGTTAGAGTGTTAGTTAAACCATCTGTCAAAGCTCATTTAGTTGTCAAAATTAAATCATTTTCCTCCACTTCCTAGTGGATTGGTTATAATGATAACTTTCTTGGCATGACATTTATCATCTTGGTCCAAAGGCAGTCGGGGGTATGGGGCTGGGAAGAGGGCAGGAATGTAATGCATAGAGTGATACGCCTGTTCCTTTTGTGGTAGAAAGATGCTATTTTAATACTGTTTAATTTTTATTATCACTTATAATATTAGTGTGCATTTTGCTGTAACTGCACCTGGTTTCAAAGCAGGACAAAACCCATGGCCATATTAATAAAGGAGGGTGAAGGGAAGAGCTGGGTTAGTGCCCCTTGTCTGGTGCTTCAGATGGTAGGAGAGGTTGATCCTGCAGGCCGACTGATTTAATGCCCTGATTTCCAGCTTAGGTTTCATATGCCAGTCATAAAGTGTAAGAAATAAATATCCTAAAACAATTATTTTTTTAAAAAAGTTTGGCTTATAAGCAAAATATCTAAAAACATTTCTAATTTTTATACAGAAGAGGAAAAAATAATCAGATAATCATTGATTTTGTTTTTTGTTTTTTTTTGGGGGAGGTAAGTTATATATATGGTTGGGAAATTCTAACAGCACGAAAGTTACAAAATGAAGAGTAGGAGCCTCTCCTCCTCTATCCCAAACCCATTCTTTATAACCATTATTAACAATTTTTCTGAATTTTCCCAGAAACAATTTTATGCATATACTCACGTATATAAGTGTATAAAGCTATTTTAAAAATTATACTCACAAGAAATGGTTGTTTTATTATTGTGATCTTACAAATATTTCTCAGCATGTATATTTACATCTGTCTCACTTCAGTGTTTCATAAATACCCTGTTATATGGCTGTACCATATTATTTAACCAGTATTTTAGTGCCATTGATGGACTGTTGCCTTTTAAAAAAAATTACAGTTGATGCTGCATAAACATCCCATTGTATGTAACTTGATGGACTTGTATGAGTATATCCATGGGTAAATCCTTAAAAATTGTGATTACTGCATCAAATGATATATTGCTTTGCATTTTTTTAAACATTATTATTATTATTACTATTATTATTTTGTAGAGACGGAGGTCTCACTTTTTTGTCCAGGCTAGTCTCAAACTCCTGGACAACAGGAGCAATCCTCCCGTCTACCAAAGTGTTGGGATTATAGGCATGACCCACTGCACCTGACCGCTTTGCATTTATAATGTTGATAAATATTGCCTAATTTCCCTCCAGAAAGGTGGTATCAAGTTACATTCCTACAACAGTATGTGAGATGGCCCACGTCCCCAGACTTCTTCCCAAATTAAGGATCATCAGTCATTTCAATTTTTACCTGACCTGATAGGTGAAACAAGGTAGTATTTCCTTGCTACTCCATTTGCATTTAATTTTTGAATGAGGTTATCTTTGCATATGTTTATTGTCCATTTGCATTTCATTGTCTATAAATTACCTGTTTATGGTCTTTGCCCATTTTTATACTAGGCTGTTTCTTTCTTATTAATTAATATAAATTCTGTGAGTGAGGAAATGAGCTCTGTGTCAGTTGTGTGGTAAATAACTACTGTACCTTCTCTCATTAAACTTTTGACTTGGTTTTTTTTATCCATTTAGAAGTTTTACATACTTACAGAGACTAATTTGTCATTCTTTTATGACCTCTGTGTTTTCTGTCCTGCTTAAACTGGCCTCCAAGATTATAAATTCACCCATACGTTCTTCTGAAATTGTTTTCATTCTTTCATTCTTTTGCATGTAGCCTACCTTTATTTTGACACAAGGAGAAAGCACAGTATCTAACTTTATTTTCCCATGTTAACTAGTAGCACCAGCACCACTTGTTGGTAATCCTTCTTTTACTCCCGATTTAAAATGCTACCTTTGTTAAGAATTTAAGTCCATCTCTGAGCTTTTTTTATTGTTGTCTTATTGATCTGTTCACATTTTTTCTTCCATGCCAGTGTTTCTTTTCTTTTTGATTCTTACAGTTTCATAATAGGTTTTTTTTTTTTTTCTGGAAAGGCTAGTCCCTGCCTCTCAACCCTCCCTATTTCTCCTTTTGTTTTTTCTGAGTGTCTGTAGCTACTGGTGCATTTTTCAGATGAACTTTAATATTACTTTTAATTGCCAAAAAATAATTTTTGGTATTATAATTTGAATTGAGTTGAATATAGATGTAATATAAAGAGAGTTTACATCATTATAATATCTAATTTTCCTGAGAGCATTGTCTTTCTTTCCACTTACTTAGAGTTTCTGAGTTTTTTTCAAATAGATCCTGTACATTTCTTAAGTTTATATTTAGGCATTTTGGTTGCTATTATTAATGTGATTTTTATTTTCGTTATAATTTAAAATTTTTCTTTGTTTAGAATAGCTGTTGATTTTAAAATATAATCCTGTAACCCGCCACCTTCCCAAAACAGACTTCGGTATTGTTTTTATTGTCTTTTCCGTTGATTCTCTTGAGTTTTCTAGGTATATAATTATATCATTGGCAAACAGTGACAATTTCCATTCTTCCTTTTAAATGTTTAGACCTTCAATTTTATTTGCTTATCTTATTACATTGCTTAGTAGTTCTAGAACAATGTTAAATGGCAGGCATCTTTTCGTTGTTTGTAATTTTTTTTTTTTTTCCCTCAAGACAGGGTCTCACTCTGTCACCCAGACTGGAATGCAATGGTGCGTTCAGGGCTCACTGAAGCCTTGACCTCCCAGGCTCAGATGATCCTCCCACCTCAGCTTCTCAAGTAGCTGGGGCCACAGGCGTGTACCACCACACCTGGCTAATTTTTGTATTTTTTGTAGAAACAAGGTTTCACCATGTTGCCCAAGCTGGTCTCGAACTCCTGAGCTCAAGTGACCCACCTGGCTTGACCTCCAAAAGTGCTGGAATTGCAGGCATGAGCCACCATGCCAGCCTGTTGTTTGTAATTTTAATGAGAATGTGGTGAGTGTTTTATCATTAAGTAAGGTGATGGCTTTTCGATCTCATTTATCTTTTCTCTCATCATAAGGAAATACTCATTTATTTTTATTTTTTTAAATCAAGGATTATTTTTAATTTTGGAAAAATCTTCATGGCGTATTTTGGAGTGATTTATGGTTTTTGTCTTTTGACCTTTTACTATGCTGTTATATTAATATGTTTTCTAGTATTGCATTCTGGAAGGTATCCTACTTAGTTGTATTCTGGTCTTTCAATAATATTTATATTATTCTTTCAGTAATATTTATGTCATAATTGAAATGTCTGGTTGGCAATTTTTGTCATGTCAAGTCTTGGTATTAGTATGCTAGCCTCACAAAAAGGATTTGGAAGGTTTTCTCCTTTATTCTTTTTAAACAGTTAAAATAGTTATCTATTCCTTAGAAGATTGAAGAAATTTGTCTCTCAAACCATCTGAATTTGATACTTTTTGGGGGTAGCACTTTAATAACTTAAACTGTTTTCCTTTGTATTATTAGTCTTTTGTTTCAGTCTCTGCCAGGGATAATTTTGACATAACATTTTCCTAGAAAATTATCTATTAAGTTATATCTTCAAATTCATTTGTATCTAGTTTTGCAAAGTAAACTTTCTTATATGTAGTAATTTTCTTTTTTAAAATTTCTAACTTTGTGTATTTGGGCTTTACTGGTTTTTAAGAACTTGCAATTGCATTTATCTATCAATTCTATTATTCCATATTTTCTAATAGAATAATTTGTGCTTTTATCTTTGCTATGTATTTCTTTCATTGGGTAATTTGTCTTTTTGCTAGTTTCTTGACTTAAAGACTAAATACATTGATCATATAATAGTTACCTAGGTGTTTAAGGTTGTGAATGTCCTTTGAGCTTGTGAATGTCCTTTGAGCACCGTTTTAGTTGCATTCCACTGTATGTTACTTTCTAGATATCCTGCAACTTCTCTTTTGCATCCTTCTTTAACTCGAGTTATTTAATGAGAAAATCGTCTCATTTCCAAGTTGTTTGGTTTTTTTCCCCTCTTTGTTTTGTCATGCATTTAAAGTTTTTATTGCACTGTGAAGGGAGAATATGGTCTGTGTCATGTCAGCTGTTTGGAGTTTATTGAGTTTTCCTTGTGGCCTAATATATGATTTTGTAAATGATCCAACGGCTTTTAAAAAGAAGAGTTATTCTGTTATAAGAATATAAAGTTTGAGATAAACCCCCCACCTTATAATATAGGTCTTAGTTCAAACTAATCACTTATTTTATAAATTGTTTGTTTTTGCATTGCCTACAATTTGTGCTTTACAAATTTTGTTGCTCTGCCTTTTGATATATAAATATTTACTATTCATATCCTCACTGTAAATTAAGCCCTTCATTAACCATTAGTGGCCCCTTTGACTCATTTAACCTCCTCTGCCTAGAATTCAGGCTTGTTAGATTTAAATTTGGCAATCCAGTTTTCTATTTGTTAACGTAATCTATCTTTTTTTTACTTTTCACCTTTCTGAGTCATTTTGTTTTAGATGTGATTCTTGTTTACAATATATAGTAGCTTTTTAAAATCAAAATCATTTTTAAAAGTTCTAAAAAAACTTTTTGAACCTCAGTTTCCCCATCTGTAAAATGGGTAGTTGAAAGTACCTATTGGATAAGATAAGATTTGTGCTACTCACTTTACATATATCTTCTCATTTAATTCACGTAAAGCTATCCTTTCAAGGTACTTCTTATATTTTTTGTCAGATGAGAAAACTGACTTAGGAAGGTGACTTTTCCAAGGTCACTCAATTGCTAATTGGTTGAGCTGTGATTCATCCCCAATCCAAGGCTTTCTAAATTCTAAAATCTTTCTACTTAGCCCATACGGCAGCATCGCACCATGGGTGAAACCCCAGGTCACCCTGCGTGAAATGGTTCCTAGCTTTTAAGACAAGTTGTAGCAAGCAGGGTAACCTGGTAACTAGGCTCACTTTTGGACTTAATTGGAACCAGACTGCAGGGGGCTCAAGGGTCAGGCTAGCAGTCTTCTCACCAGTACGTCCTACCTGCCCCACCTTCCCAGAATGAGAGCAGCTCTGCTGCTGGGTGTGGGGCCTGGCCACACATGGGGCCTTGCCTGCCCCTGCCCTCTCCAAGCTTTTCCCAAGGCTGGCAGGCACCCTCTGAGCACTGTTTCTAGCCTCAGCTCCATGTGACAGTCAGAGACAGCAGATGGAGCCAAAGACTTGGAGAAAAATGACACCCAGTTCAGAGTCCATGTTCCCTGGGGCCCAGACCCCAGTGTTGAATGTGGAGGAAAGGGCTTGGTTTATTGTTGGGGGTGGAGATTAGCAGGGGCTTTTCTTGTACCCTCTCCCTGTGGTGATTATGTCTAGGTATCAGTGAGGAAGAGGGACCCAGCGGGGCCCAGCTAGCATGAAAACTTCCTGGAAGTTAAGGCCTGGCTCCCACAGGGTGCCTGATGAGCCTTTATAAAATATCTAGAGGCATACCCTATGTCCACTTGGTCTCTATTCCTCCAGGCCTGTGGTTCCAGTAGGGGTTCAGCGAATATTGGCTGGATGAACTGGGCAAAGTATTGACTGAGCTGCTTTATTCGCAACAAGAACAGACAGGAAAGTGTATTTAGACTGACTCCTGCAGCATCTGGCACTGGGCATTAAGAGAAATAGTGCTCAGCCTGTGCACACATTGGGCAGGGTATCAGTCCAGCTGCAATACTTTCACCTGTGTGAGTGGGGCCATCACTAAGTCTCCTAGGGTCTTCTCTGTAAAGTGGAGATGATGCTGACTGTGGAGTTGGCCCTGACCTTGTGCCATTTTCAAGGATGATGAAGATGCTTTTGATTGTGCGCTCTCCCTGTAGGCCTCTCCTGGGCTTTGTGGCAGGCGAGAGCACATGCTTGTTGGAGCTCTGTGAGGCCCAGGCAGTGCCTGGTTCCCTGGGGTCACCTGGGCATAACAGTGCCCATCTTGTCAGTTGAACTGTGTGGCTAAGGGTGAAAGACTAAGTAGTTGGAACTCACGGCAACTTGCACACATGCTCTGCGCCCACAGTTAAGTATAGTTGGAAAAGTGGTGCTCTCAGCAGTGACCTCAGTCTCTGTCATTCAGACCCAGGAGTGGGTCTCAGAAGAGGCTGGAGGCCAAGCTTGGCCGTAGCTCTGCTCTTATTATATGATGCCCAGTGGCCCAGGTTCCTGACCACTCAGACTGGAAGAGCCAAGTCATCCTGGCAGGGGCCAAGGCTCTGACCTCAGTCCTTCTTGGTGCCAGCTTAGTGTGTGTGCCAGGCTGGATTGGATGTGTCAGGGGAGGGGGAATTGGGAGAAGACATAGCTTTCCTTGAGTACCTACTGTGTGCCACGTGCTGAGCTAGGCTCTCCAAGTACTAATTTCTGATCCTCTCAGGAATCTTCCAAAGCTGGGACTCTTATCCCCTCTTTGCAGCTGGAAAAACTGAAGCCAAATGCCATTTAATCGCACAGCTATTGAGTGAGAACCAGTAAGCCAGTCCCCCAAAACCTAAGCTTTACCCCTCATGCCAATAGCTTTTAAACATTTTTAGCTAAAGAACTTGAATATCAAATTTTATGAAGAATCCCCACAAATACAACCTATAGAAAGGGAGCCAGTCTGGCTGAAATGCAAATGGGTGACTTGGGCCCTTCTGTTCCTGCCCCTCCTCACACCTATGGCAGCCCCAGGACTCCCTGGGAACACAAGGCTCCTTGGAATCCAGTTTGGAAATGGGTCCTGTGCCCTAGAACCATGGATGGGAGAGCTCAAGACACCGCCCCTGCTGTCTGCAGGTGCATAGAGCCGGAGCTTTAGCTTCCCCGTCTGTGAAATGGAGCTGCTGATCCCTGTCTTGCAGCCTGCTAAAGAGAGTCCGTGAGGTGTGTTTGTTTTGTTTTGTGTTTTGTTCTTTTGAACTGAAAATTGAGGTGTTTCAACTATGGTTGAGAACCTACTGGCTGCCAGATAGTCAACTAGGTGTTTGTACGCATGATCTCATTCGGAAAGACTGCCTTCGCCCATGAGCAAGAGTGTGAAAGTGAAGGTTTATTTGTTCACGAGAGGGTGATGGAACAGCTTGTCACAAACTGTAAGTGTAGTCCTGGCACATGGCTTGGAGAGGACCTGAATTCCGGTGGGTGGCTGTGGAAGTGGAGAGGAAGAGCTGACAGAGACTCTGCCCTGAACAGCTGTCAGCACCTGGTGGAGACTGAGCAGGTGCAAAGAGGGCAGAGGGGAGGCGATAGCTGAGAGAGGGCCAGCTGGCGTTTGGAGTTAGAGGAAGAAATGGGAAAGGAGGAAGCCTAGAGCAGGAAAATCAAGGATAATGTCCTTTCTGGATGAGAGGGGTCAGCGCACAGAGGCTAGAGAGAAGAGAGAGGCCCCTGCTGCTGTCTGCTGAACGCTTACTGGGGCCATGTACATAACCAGTGTACCCAATGAGTAGGACCTAAGCCTTTATTTTCAGATGGGGAAACTGAGGTTCAAAGGAGAAACTTTTACCAGTAAGTAAAAGACCATCGGTTCTGGCCATAAGTCATGGTGACTTTAGCTGTGAAGATTCAAATTAGAGGATGCTGGCAGAGGGTGAAAGCAAGCTGAGAAAGGCTAATGCCTAGGGAGTGAGGCATAAGTCAGAATCACTTGGGAGTTTTGTGCCCAGCCAGAGAAACCCCTACTCCTTCAGGTGTGGAGCTTCTGGAAACTCTTCTCTACTCAAGAAGGGCAGAGGTGCTTTGCAGGAAGGGCCTGGACACACCGATTCTTGGCGCCCACTCTGGGGCCTCAGAGTTCCCCACTCTCCTGACCTAGCCTGGCTTGGCCTGCTGAGGTGCTGGATGCCACACTCTGTGATCTTATTCAAATGTCAGCTTTTCCTAGCATTAACATCCATTGACCCATTTAAAATAGACACACTTGGAGAAGGAAATCAAAAAGCAAAACAAAGGAGCAGTTGCTTTTCCAATCACATACACCTTGTGCAGCTTAATGAAGTCATAACAGAACCAAAGGCAGGTGCGGTATCTGTGCTTTTCAGGGAGAAAAGCAGGTGTCACCATTATCATCTGGATGCCCTTTGGCCACAGCATTTTTAGACCATCTGAGGCACTGCCAAGAATATTCCTGTGGCTTAGTGATGAGCCTTTTGGCAAGGTTAGGAAATTAGAACTCACCTTAGTTGTGTATTTAATTAAGGGTAGGGAGAAAGTCACAGGATTTCCTTTTTCTCTCCTTTCCCTCTGGAAGCAAGGGGCCACATACAACCATCTCCGCATCTTTCAGCTTTGACTGCTCCTGCCCCGTAATCTTGACTCCTGGAGGTTGTGGCTTTTACTCACTCTCTTAGTTTGGCTTCTTGAGAGTTTCTAAAATTGTACAAGGTCATAGCCAAGAGATTGCCTCTTAGCAACCTCGTGCCAGTGGCCTTGCGCCTATCCCCTGGTCTCCCACACTTACAGGAGGCCCACAGAGAGAGTCATGCTGCTGTTTTCTTTGTAGGCACACAACAGAACAGTGTTTTCCAACCTTTTCCTCATAATCACTGTACAGATAGACTGTATCATGACCCAATGCACATGCAGGTGGAGAAAGTGAAAGGCTTTACAAAATAGTATCCTTACCTCCTGACTTCCATTGCATTGCATTCTACTCCAATTTTTTATTTTCCTTTTCACTTGAAAACCACTGGTCTTAATGCACTGCATTGCCACCTCAGTTTGGAAACCTGCAGTAGTGCTCAGGCTCTGGAGGTCAGGCCCCTGTGCTCTGCTGCCCCACCCTGCCCACCTGGCAAGCAGGTCTGGAGGCCTCTGTCCCTCAGCTGGTCTCAGCAGTACTGGCTGCAGGTGACTATTACAGTGGCAGTGGCTGGGGAGGCCTTCTATTGATGCAACATTCTGTGTGGGGAAAGGCCCACTTGATAAAACTGTTTGGTTTTACTTAAAAGGAGTGTAGGTGAGGAAACAAACTACACAACAATGTGAATGAACTGGAAAAGTAAGAAAAGATAATGCAGGTGATATCCTTCTAAGAAAATTTTTAAAATTAAAATTCAGATTTAGACCAATGTGTTTTAGAAAAGGACTAACCATGAGATTCCCTCTAATTGCATGGTCTCCTCATTCATTGAAAATGTAGTTATTTTTACAGAAATCTGACCTTTCTGCAATTTTCAACTGTGGACCCATGTGAAGTGTAACTAATTCTCCTTTCACAGCATTCACCTTCCTCTTCGGTAATGCTGAGCCCCATTCTGGGTCTGCCATTTTACTACAGAGGAGAGAATTTGAAAGGTGGTCAGAAGAAGCATGGACATGTTAAATGTTTGGAAACCAGATTCCTGTAGGGAAGGAGGGAAGGATTTTAGCTCCACAGTTGTGTTCTGAGTGCCAGCTAATGGGGCTAGCCCTCTACGTCCCACTAAAAGCCTGCATGGTCCCGTGACCTTCAGGGCACAGCTCCAAACTTGAAGTGTGTGGCTGGCAGCCTGTCTTCCTCTGCAGCCATGCATGGGGAGCTTCAGGCCCACGGAGCTAGTTTGGTTCCCTGTCCAGCAGCTGCCTTGTCCTTTCAGGCTTCGGTAGCACTCTTTCTTTTGTGACCTGGGGCCAAGGACTTCACCTTTCTGTGCCTCCATCTCTTTTCAGAGTGTTTCTGAGCATACATTGATTATTCATGTGCTTGGAGTGGGCACTCAGGAGTGTTCCTTGTTGTTTTGCAAGGGACGCCCTTTCCAGCCCTGACCATTTGAAACACTCTTAGAAATATTTCAAAATCCAGCTCTTACGTCCCACCTCTTCCTGGGAGCTGCATCTGTCCTGAGGATGGAGTTGAGCTCTGCTCCTTATCATAGCCCAGTCACCCCTCTTCCCGCTTGACTCTGTGCTGCTTAAGAGAAGGCTCCCAACCTCTCTATGTTGGAATCCCCAGCACCTAGTACCGTGCCTGGCCCACAGTCAGTGCTCATCAATGCTGATTTGTCCCTGAATTCACATGAGGGATAAGAAAAGCTTCATCCCATTTCCACCTCTGATGGATTGGCTGTACCGTCAAGAGTTCCATGTTGAGAAGATTCTGAGACAGAACTTGAGAAAGGGAAAGACCCCACTATGTGGCAGATACAAAGCCAAGCATTTTACATGCCTTTTCTTCTGATTTAACCCTAGACAACCCTGTGAAGTAGGGACTGTTATCATCTCTCTCTGAGATGAGAGAACCAGAGCTCCTGAGTTACACAGAAGTGGGCAGTGCTGGGTCTCAGACAGGCAGGGTCCCCGCTGCTGCCCCAAGCACCTGGACCTAGGCCAGCTCTCTCTCCTGGAGTTTTGGTCCTGTCCAACTGCTGGCTACTTCCATGCGCAGAGGATGGAGTAGCGGGATCCCACCGCCTTTGTGTCACCAGACTGCGCTGGAATAGGGGAGCCTTTGTTTGGTGTGGGCACCCACCGGGGTTCAGAATACCAGTGTTTAGAAGAGGCTCCGCCTTCACCCTCCAAGGAAGGACAGAGGCGTCCATGGTTGTTGAAAAGCGGAATGTTCCCGCTAATGAGAAACAGTTGAGAGATGGGTGGGCCACCATCCTTGTGGCAGGCCCTGTGTCCTGACCTGCTTGTCAAGGTACAGATGACAGGCAGGGCTACAGCAGGTGTGGCTTCCTCTAGCTGGATTGGCAAAGGGACCTGGGCCAGGCTGTGGGGAGGAGGGAGAAGGCCCTCTGCAATTTTTCTTTTCTCTTCCCTTTTCTTTTCCTTAACCATTTAGCTGTATCTTTTAGTAAAAGAATACCCAGAAGACAGTTTTTCTGCATTACCATATATAGAAAATTCTAAACTTCTAGAAAGAGATAGTTCCCTGGGAAGATGGTCTGGTTTGAGGGTGAGCATTAACTTTGGACTCATACAGCCCTTGGTTAAAGTCTAGGGTTACCATTTCTTGGCGGTGTGAACTTGGTCAAGTCAAGTAGCCTCCGTAGGTCTCAGCCCCCTTGTCTGTAAGTTATTTCCATGCCATAGCATTGTGATGAGGATGACCATGGGAAGCACCTGGGATGTTGTAGAATCTGGGTAGAAACTGGTTTTTCCTATTCCTGCCAGCTCTTGGAAAAGGCTACATCCTGGCTCTCCCAGCCAGTTGATAGTGTGCCTCTCCCTGAAAGAGAAATTGATGTCTCCTGCCAACATCCAATTGGGGGAGTCCAGGAAAAGGGCAGTTGTCTGGGTAACCATTTGTGAAAGCCAAGGACAGGGCAAAATGGAGATGCAAGGAAGGGTTTATCCTCCTGGCAACAGGGTTGCACTCATGTTTCTGGTCGATGCAGCTTTGTGCTTCTTGCCTTTCCATGCCATGTGGGAGCCACGGGTGGCATGTTGCATTCAGTTAGTGACCAGGCTGCATCTTCAGAGCCCAGGCATCCCTGTCACCATCTAAGCTAGTTGGTCAGCCAGCCAGGTCTGGCAGGTAGGCCTCCCACTCCCAGAGTCTATGGATGCCACACCCAGGACTCAGGCATGAGGAGGTCCACTTTGGGAACCTGACTTCACCGCTGCCTGGTAACGGGGCTTTGGCAAGTCAGGCTCTTGGCATCTCCATTTTTAACAGGGCACTTGTAACCAGGACATCCTCATGAGCACAGCAGAGAACTGTTCCCGGGCTCTCATGAGATGTGTGAGAAGGCCCCTCATGTGGACATATATGAATGTAGCACATTTTTGTTAGTTTACTTTGAAAAGGTAATACTGGCAGATGGTTAAAAAGGCAAAAGATGCCAAGGTTATGCAGTGATTAGAGTTAAGTCTCCCTGACAACCCCCTGTCTTGGGTCCCTGGTCTCTCCCTCCTAGGCAGCCACTGCTGCTGCCATTCTGGTGATAACCTCTGCATGTGGAAGCTTATGTATCTCCCCCTGTTTCTTACACCAGGCCCTACCCAGTGTGCTACCCCTTGCTTTTATCTCCTCCACTCTAGATGCAAGATGGTTCTACATCTGTACATGTGGATGTCTGTTTAGCCTCTGCCTAGGAATCTACCGTAAGGACATGCTGCTCTCTCTCTCCCTCTCATTGAGGCATAGAGTAGTTGTTTGGAGAGCACGTTAACCAACTGTTGGTAAGAACAGCTGTGTGTATCCTGTCTGCTTTGAGGTTTCAGTGGCTCAATGTCCTTGAGAGCAGTTTTTAGGGAGTTATCCAGAAAATGTTTAGCAAATAAGGAACTCTTTCTTTTTTCTCTCTGGTGCAGGATTTCTGAAGCTCAACATTGTTGACATTTTATTTTATTATTTTATTTATATTTATTTTATTTTTTGAGACAGAGTCTTACTCCATCACCCAGGCTGGAGTGCCATGGTGGAATCTCTGCTCACTGCAACCTCCGCCTCCCAGGTTCAAGCTATTCTTGTGCCTAAGCCTCCTGATTAGTTGGGATTACAGGTGTGCACCACCACACCTGGCTCATTTTTGTCGTTTTTGTAGAGATAGGGTTTTGCCATGTTGGCCAGGCTGGTCTTGAACTCCTGGCCTCAAGTGATCCTTCCACCTGTGCCTCCCAAAGTGTTGGTATTACAGGCATCAGCCATTGCTCCCAGCCTGTTGACATTTTTCTACCTGATAATTTTTTGCTATGAAGGCTGTCCTGGGCATTGTAGGATGTTTAGAAACATCCCTGTCTGTACCCAGTAGATATCTATAACACCCCCACCCACCATGTGACGACCAAAAATGTATCCAGGTCCAGACATTGCCAACTTTCCCAGAGGTGGGGGAGTCACCCCAGGTTGAGAACCACTGCTCCAGTGGGATTTGGAAGAGCTGAGCAGTGCTGTGCACAAATGTGTAGCTCTGGAGTTTAGTCCTGGGGCAGACCTGTAGCTGAGAAGGCAGGGATGGGGGTCGCCTGGAGCCATCAACATCCACACCACCTGCTCTTCAGGGCTGCTTCCTAATGTGCCTTTGGGAAGCCAATGTCTCTCCCTAACACACACACAGGAGCCCACACTTACATCAAAGAGGCAATAGAGTGTGGTGTATTATGGCTGGGTTGTGAAGCCAGACTTATCAATGCTACCACTTCCTTGCTATGTGACTTGGGATAAGATATTTATGTCTGCTGGAACTTAATTTTCTCAGCAGTAAAGTGGGGGATAATAAGAGTACCTGCCTCATTGGTAGTGGAGATTAATGGGTTAATGCATGTAAAGCACTTAGGCCCAGGGTGAGGTATGTGATATGTGCTCCATGCATGTCAGATATCACTATTATTATCAGCAGAAAAATAAAATGACTGCTGAGCCCTCTCTGTGAGCCAGGATCTTTGAATTGATGACCACAGTTGAGTTTGCTTGTAATCATGGGCAGTAGGACCCTCCATGCCTTTATACTCAGGAAATGGAGGCTGAGAGAGAGTAAGGCCCTTGCTCAAGGCCACACGGCCAATAAGATGTATTGAGCAGAGCCTGTGCCCGAGGGCCATGCTGAGGCTGCTATGGCCTCTGCCAGAAGCCAGGGCCTGAGCTCCTGGGGAGGCCCAGGAGGGAGGGAGGGAGTCTACCATTGGTACCTTGTGTTGTAGCCAATTAGTTATTTGTCAGAAGCCATCCTTGGGCTTGAAGTCCCTGCACACTGTCAGTGGTATGGAGTGTAAAGCTCCATTTCTTGAAAACTGCATACTCGTCAGGGCCAGTGGTGTCACCTTGGCAGGGTTTATAAGGAAAGAAATTGGCCATAATTCTAGTGATAACTTTTATATGAATTTCCTTTATTTCACCTTCCTATGCTATATGTTATACATTTGTATAGTGGAGATCACTATGTTTAATTGTTACTAAATATAATGTCACTATTTCTGATGCATTCTGGTACCACTGTTTCATATGTCCTCATATCTTTGAAAGTTCTTAGCTTGTTGCCATTTTATTGGTTGCATAATATTAAATGTTTTCTTAATTATTATGCAAGTAGTACGTGAAATATATTTTTATTGTGATATTTTATGCATTGCCAGAAAAGACCAAGTCCTTTTGATCACCCTTCTAATTCTAGTCTGTGGCGCAGAGGTATTGCTGCTTGTTTGTGGATTTATTTTTCAAAGAGCGTGGTATTTATTCAGTTATAATAGAAATACATGCTTGTTGTGAATAATTAATTCACTATCAGGTAAAGTTAAAGTTTCCTAAAATTCTACTTCCCAGAGAAAGCCAGTGTTAAGAGCATGCTCTGTGTTCTTTCACCCTTTTTTAATGCACACAAATGCACCACACCCTAATATACACACTTAGGAATAAAAAGCACAACAGGCTTCTGTCATAGGCATTGTTTGTTATGTCAGTGTTTTCACTTAGCATGTAGCAGAACCATCTCATACCGATGCCTACCGCTCTCCCCCTCTCTTCACTCACTGCATCCTGGTCCACAGAAGAGCGCTCCTGCACTCTTGCCCCATCCCCTTATGATCGACAGGCACGTGGTTTCCAGTGTTTTTGGCTATGGGAAAGTGTGCTGCACAGCATCTCAGCATGTGTGAAGTGGTTTAGGGCTGTTTCTGAATTTCCGGAGGACTGTCACGTGGGCTGAAGATCTGGCGACCAAGGGCACGTGGGGGATGAGGAGTGAGCCCTGAGCCTGCCTGGAGCTCAGCACAGAGGACCTGGGGCGGTGAGCCAGCAGCGTGGGGTTACCGCCCAGCTCGGTGCCGCCAGCACCGTGAACCGGGGCACAGCCCTCCCTCTATGCTGCTCAGTGCCATCATTTTCCCCTCCCATGACATACGACAGCAGGGAGTTGAGTGGTTTGTTTCATCTCTTCTTAAGAAAAAGTTAAATTTATAATCCCAGCCCCGACCTTCCTTGTAACTCATGTGCTCATCCTGTTAACTGGTTTAATATATGGCACCACTATTTCATTAAACAACATACAGGAATAATTAGTTCAGCCACGATGCCTCAGAACAAAAGCCCTTGATTTAGTTTAACTTTATAAGTTGCTCTCTTTTGATGTGCAAGAGCACATCTGGGGTCTTAAAGAAAGCAGAAAGAAAAATAGAAGACGTTCTGGCAGGCTGGGGGTTAGAGTTTTCCAAGCAGAGCCAGTAACCCTTTGGTACCAGGCCTCAATAGGGCAGCAAGGGCCCCGCAGAAGCAGTGCGTGCTGCTGGCTGGGGGACGACAGCCAGCATTCCCAGGAGGTCTGTGGCTGTCTGCTGCCAGGCCAGGAGAACCCGTGGGTTTTCTTCCTTCATACACACGGTGTGCTCACATGCAGTGCGTCCCCAGACTTGTAAGCCTGGCCTGTTCTCCGCCCCGCTGCTGGAGCTCAGACGCTCACTCTGGCCTTTCCTACCCTCAGCGTGTGCTTGGTGCTGCTGCATGCCAGGCACACTGTGAGAACTGTGGACATGCTCAGGGATCAGCACAAGGGCCCCTCTGGGGCTGGCGTCCTCTTCCTGTCATTACAGTTTGCTCCGATTTGCTCTGTGCCCAGAGTCTTTTTCCCCATCAGTCCTCTTTCCACCCGGGCTACCACTGGAGTCGTTCTGACCTTTGTACTTCATCACTCCTCACCCCTGTGTGGCATCTCACGGTATTCATCTGCCGGCAGAGGAGAGTTCCAGCTCCTTGGCCTGACCCTCGGGCTTTGCACTGCCTGGCTCCTGCCTCAGCTGCAGCCATTTGTGCTCACGTACCATTCTCTCGCCGGCTGCTGACCAGTTGGGCCCTCTGCAGGCCTCAGGGCCTTTGCCCCCTTCAGCCTTCTGCTCCAGCTGCTCCGTCCATCCACAGGCCTGGCACAGATGTCCCCTCCTCTCTGAGGTTTCCTCCCAGTTCCCTGCCAGGTGGTAACCATGGTTCCTTTCTCAGGGCTCCCCCACCCTCCTTGCCACACTGGGGCAGCCCTTGCCATGTGGGCCATGGGAACTGGTTGTTAGGTGACTGTGCACTCCAGGCAGAGGCAGGATGGAGTTGTGCCTGGTCCCCTGTTTCTCTAGACATGGCATAGTACAGGGCATACAACAGGCTCTGTGGACAGGAGCCCATCTGGCACAGTGGGGAGAGCCAGGCCGTCAGCCTGCCCTGGCCCAGCACTTGCTGGTGGTGAGACTGCATGAAGCTTGCATGGCGCCCTCCCGTGATGGACTGCTGTGAGGCAAGGGGGGTTAGAAAGGGTTCAGCCAATGCCCGGAACATAGTTGTTGCTCGACTAGTGGCAAGTGCTGTCCTTTGCAAAGTTTTGCTGGGACAACTTTCTCATAGACTGTGTTCCAGCTGGTTTTTTAACTGAGGTGGACTGAGTGACTGTTTTCCATCTCTGGCTTTTGGTTTCCAGAGAGCCAGGTTGTGCAGTGGGGACAGATGTCCTGGTCTGCCAGCTGCCAGCAGGCAGCAGCCATTAGCTCCCTGTCCCACCCGTTCCTGCTCCAGCACATGATGCTCTTCTCCCTGCACCCTTCACCCAGGACAGCAGAAGGTACAGGACCCTTGGTTCTCTCTCCTAATTAATGGCAGAGACCCAGTTAGAAATGGCGGGCCCCTCCCTAACCTCTCCACAGCCATTTGTAAGTCCAGCGAGACTGCGGACTGCTGTCCCTGGTGGCCCTGGTTGCAAGCAGCTCCCTTTGTAACAAAGTCAGTGTCACCTATTTGCCAGCATGGCTGCCCATGGCAAGCCATTCTGGTCTTGCCTGGAGTGTCACAGACAGTATCCCACTCCTCTTCCTGAGTGGCCGTGTACTAACAGGTAACAGATGGCAGATGTGTAGACGAGCAGCGGTTGATGCCTGGCTTCGCCACCGAGGGAGCACTTGGGCCAGGCACCTGCGTGTACAGCAGCTCCTTATCCTCACATCACCTGCAGGAGTAAGGCGGTTTTTACCCCATTGTACCATGAAGACTCAGAGGCCCAGAGAGGAGAAATGACTTGCCGGTGTTCAAGTCCTGGACAGGGTCTGAATCTAGGTTCAGACAGGGTGCAACACATGAAGTTTCTGCCCTTTTGGCTCCTCGGGAATTCTTCTCAACCATCAGAAAGAGAAAGCCTGGGGATTTTCACACCTGTCCCACCTGGAACATGTTTCATGTTAAGTGCCATTCCTTTCCCCACTGTGTTTTTCTGAGGTCCTGACCCCCCTCCAACCCCTTGTCCCATTTTCTGTGGCTCCTGACCCTCAAGGCAGAAGTAGCAGGCCAGCGGGCGGGAGCCAGCTTACCCTGCCTGCTGCCTCACCAGGGGACAGCAGGCTTCAGAGGCTCTCCTGTAATCTCTCTATCCACACAGCCCTCATTTTAATTTGCAAAATTGAAGCCAGATCGAGAGCAGTAAAGCCAGAGGATGGTAAATATTCATGCCTCAGTGAGCGAGGGTGGCTCCATTACCGTTCTGAGATTGAGAGAATTACCTGGGGGATTATGTATATTCATGGGCCGATTTTTATTTGCGATATAACATGACTCACGTTGGCCTGTGTGTTACAGGTTCTACCCTCAACAGACTTTGCACAAAGCGTATGCCCTTAAGCTTCTGAAAGTCATCTCAAGTGGATTGCCCATCGCCTTCTGCCTCCTAGGAGACAGGTCAGAATAATAAGCACACCAGTGACCAACCAGGGGTTTCCATGCACTCCTCTCTCTGCCTTACAAGCTGTGGGCACTATTCTTACGTCCAGGTCACAGAGGAGGAGACGATCTGAATGCCACACCATGTTCTGTTTATGTGGCTGTCCCTGCACTGTGCTGCCATCCTCTCGACTGCAGGGATGGTGTCTCATTCTGTCCTGTGTGCCCAGAACATAATAGGTGCTCAGGAAATGGCTGCCAAGGGAGTAGCCCCTCTTGCAGGCCTGCTCTGCAGACACGCTCAGTTCTGCCGCTGGCCCCTGGCGTGTGTACAGCACCTGCTGCTGGCAGCACAGGTTTGGCCCTGCTGATTGGCTGGGTGTCTGGCTTCAATAGGGGCAGGTCAGTGTTCCTGTTCATAGGACACTGTTTACAGTGTCCTGCCTCGGTGCACAGCAGGAGTCAGCGCACTGCAGCCTGCCACCTGTTTTGATAAATAAAGCACTGCAATGGCAGAGTCAAGTAGTTGCAACAGAGGTTGTGTGGCCTCCAAAGCCTAAACTGCTTACTGTCACCTTCTCCAGGAGAGCTTGTTGCCCCCTGGCTTGTAGGCTTCAAGGGCACTGGGGCAGAGCGCCACTCCTCTGAGTCTTTTCTTGATGCCAGTGCAGCACACAGCTTATCTCTTTTACTTTCATTGTCACCATAATCCAAATGAAGTTGGGATGCTCATCTCCATTTTATTGATGATAAAATAGTAGCAGTAGTAGTTTTAATCGCTAATTTATATTGAACAACTTCTAATTTTTAAAGATACCATGCTAATCATTTCACGTGGATTATCTCAATGTAACCTCACAAATGCCCAATTAGTTAGGTACATTTTCCATTTAAGGGAACTTAGAGAGGTGACATCCCTGGCCTGGGGTCACGTAGCTAATATGAAGGATTTGAACCCAAGAAGTCTGACTTGAAAACCTGCCTTCCTAACCACTGTGTTATGAGGAGAAAAGGTTGCTTGCCATCAATTGCTCATTTACTGAACTGTTGTTAGCACTGGCAGCGTACCAGGCCCCCTTCTGGGTGTGGCAGATGCAAAGATGAATTAGAGTGACCATTCTCTCGAGGAGGTCCCTGTAGGACAAACAAGCAAGGCGGTAGCCACTCCACCAGTGTATAAGTGTTAGAACTGGCTTGGCCCTATGAGGAAGATAGGAGGTTTGCAGACTCCTGGACGGGAGCTTCCTGGGCTCATGCCCCACTCCGTCACTGCTGGACTAGTGGCCTCTGGCTAGTCACCCAAACTCTGGGCCCCAGTTTGGTCACCTGTACAATGCAGGACATAACGGGACCTACCTCTTAGGCTTGCTGTGAGGATTGAGTAGGTTAATCCATGTGAGCTTATAGAACACTGCCCAGTGCTGATGACCTGAGTGGAGGTGGCGACAAAGGCAGGGATGGCACAAATATGTGTGGGAGGCCCTGGGGGTGCCAGGCAGCCTTGGAAGGCTGCTGAGAGGCAGTGGAGCTTCAGAGAGACTGGGAGAGGCAGGGTCAGGCAGGCCAAGGTGGGAGACAGGTGGGAAGCTCTGGGGGAGAGTGCTGTGCTCCCGGGATGGGCTGGGGCAAGGAGCTGAGCCAGGGCCCTGTCAGAGCTGGCTTGGAACTGGCTTTCTGCTTGTGTGTTTTCAGATTTATAATTGCTCTCATGTGCCAGGCTTACATTTTCTGAGAGGGAAGAAGAGCTGCCCCAGCTGCTGCCAAGTTCTGCCTCCATGAGCTGGCCCTCAGGGGGCAGCCACAGTGGGTGGAGAGGGGGAAGGACCCAGGCAAGGATTTTATGACCTGTCCCTCTCCCTTCCTGTTCAGGCCTCTGTCCCAGGCTTCACTCCCCCAGGACAGTCTCTGGGCAGACCACATGGGGTGCATCCTGCTAGCTAGGACACTGTCCTGACAGGCTGGAGGGGCCCCTGCTGCCTGCCCAGGCCACGGCACTCCTAGCCTTTCACTATGGGCGCCCGCCTGTCCCTGCACTGGCTTTCCCCTGCCTACTGTGCCCCTCATCCACCTTCCACCCAGGAAGGGCCTTCCCAGGAGCATGTATTCCATTCAGTAAGATAAGGTGCCAGCACTGGGCTGCCTGCTGGGTCTGCACTGGTGGCCCATCCTTGCCCCGATGGAATGTCCAGTGCCATGTGGAAGACAGACTTTAAACAACAGTGGGCCCTGTCACCACAAGTGGTGAGGCTGACCTGAGGAGCAGCCTCTGTGAGAAGACAGCAGGGGTTTAGAGGAGACTGGGGAGCCTCCCGAGGCAGTGAGCTGGGAGCTGAAGATGTCCAGATTGGCAGTGAGGGGAGAAGCAGTGAGTGAGGGCCAGCGTGGGGGAGCAGCAGTGCTCGTTCACACAGCAGCACCGCTCCTCTCTGTCCCCTCACTGAGTTTCCATCCTGGTACTCTAGGGCTACTTTGCCTTTCCCCAGGCTGGTACCCCTCTATAGCAGGAGCAGTTTCCCCATGAATTGAGAATCCCCAGTGCCCAGCTTGGGGCACATGTGTCAAGGAAGGAGCTTGCATTTGTCTCTCCTGGGGCTGTTGCCATGACGGCCCGTCCAGGTTCAAATCCCAGCTCTGCCACCTGCTGGCTGGGTGATGGCAGGCAAGTGACTGAAGCCAGCATGCCTGCGCCTACTTGCCCTGCAGCTTGTGGAGGGACCGTGTCCCTACCTGGGAGCCCCTCAGTGTGGTGCCCACATGGGGCAAGTGCTCAGTCAATGTTAGTTGCTGTCATTACTGCTGCCGACATCATCATCACGGTCATCACAATTGTCACCAACTCCCTCCAGGGAAAGTGTTGCTCCCAAAGGAAGCAAGGCTGACAGCCTGGTGGGGTTTCGAGGCTTTACTCTTGGGCCTTGAGAACCTAAAGACACTAAAGGCCACTCATCAGCTTCCTGTGGCATCCGTGGCCTGAATGGGCCCACCTTAGCCCAAAGTCCCATCCGTTAATGCATTGCCAGAACATGTGAGATTGTGAGCCGTTCAGACATGAGAGTAGCGGCTGAGCTGATGGGGCAGAGACTCAGAGTGGCCCTTAATGGTTGGTCACCTTCCCTGGGCCCTTTAAGGCTTTGGATCCAGAGCAGGAGGTGCCACAGGGGCAGTGAGAGCTGTGGGAGAGCTGGGGTCTGCAGCCCGAAGCACAGGGGTGGTTTGGACCTTGCTGCCACCCCGTCCCCACCTTTGCCCCTGCTGGTCCTCTGGTCTTTCTTTGCTTGACTGACATCCAGCTGTCACTTTGTTAGGAAGTACCCTCTGACTCTGCAGATTGGTGGGGGCTGCTTTTCTACCCCACCCCGGGGCAGAGTATTTCCTGGCATTTTCCCATTCAGAGTATTTGCTTAACATGTTTAAAGTATTTCCATTAACCTTAGCTACAACTGATAAAGTTTTAAGATATTTAATATTGACACCCCAACCTCAGGGTAATGACTTCTGAATGCATGACAGCTTTTGGGAAGAGCTGTCACATAAGTGGTGTATACTGGTTTCTGCACTTAGGGGTAGTTCACATACTTAGTTAGCTAAATCTCTCCAGATAACCAGGAAAACACTTGTCAGCCCTGAGCTTTGCTTGTACCTTTGGAGGGATCTCTTGCATATGGGAAATGGGAACTGCTGGCAGAAGCCGAGCCTCCTTTTGAGTCCATCTGGTTACCCAAGTTCTTGGAGCCGTTTTCTCCAGGCGGATTCCCTGAGGGTCAGACACAGTGGAACGAAGGGATCCTCCTTGGGCTGTGGTGGAGCCCATGCCATTCTGTCGGCTCTGGCCCGGAACTGACCTTTGTTATTTGAAGTGCTGGAAACAGCATACCTCACTTCACAGGTGCAGTGCTTCCCTGCCCTCCCAGCCCTAGTCTTTTAATTTCACTCTGTCAATCCTAACACGAATTACTCTTACCTGAGTGTTAGGTGCTGTGCTTGGCCTTGACTTCTCGCCATAGCCCCACGGGTGTTATTATCCCCTTTTTACTAACAAGGGAACTGGGGTAAAGAGCCCAAAGTTGGCCAGCCAGGAGGCAGTAGAACCAGCCAGCATGATTCGTTCCAGAGCTGGAGCACTTCCTCCCCTGAAGGAGCCAGCCCCCAGGGCAGATCATGGAGAGTAAACATGACCCTGGAAAATCACTTGGGCGGCTGCCATGTTGAATGCCAGCCCATCCTCTCAGTAGGGTCAGCCTGTGTTGGAGCAGCCTGGTGTTCCTTCAGCAGAGTGAGGATGCAGGATCAGAAGGTACAGGTGTATCTCTGAGTCTGAGCGCCTCCCCCCCTGTGGCAGGGGCTCCCTCAGCTGAGGCTTGCTGCAGAAACCAGACCGTTGAAGGGGCGGTGGGCTCCCCACTGGCCTCCATCTGCTCTGGGGAAGGAGGCACGTGTAGCCATGGACACGGACCTCTCACGGCCTGGGTCCCTCAGCTGAATTCATCCTCACCTTGCATACTCTTTGGTCTGGGGCTGGGAGTGGGGTGAATGCTATCATGTGCCCCAGGGCTGAATGCCGAAGGGCCAGCAGTTGAGTTTTCTACAGTGTCAGTTTTCCCAAGGGCAGTTAATTCCAAACCTCACTTTTATGTTAAAACAAACATGAATCTATTATGACATAGAATGCAAAGTTTCCATGAATCTTAAAGTCCAAAACTTGGTATTTCAAAGAATTTCTGTGCTTCTAGCAGTCAGCTTCAGGGATTTATTCTCCTCTGCCATGGAGTGGGGGGCTTCTCTGTGGGAAAGAGAAACACATCATGCTGTCTTTCAGGACTTCCTGGCCCTCCATGTGTTGGGGTGTCAGCACACTGTTTGCACTTGAGGATTCCAGGTCCCATGGAAAATACAGATTTCAGGTGGTTCAATGAATGCCTTACTCCATGGAGTTACTAAGCGCTTTCCCTGAGAGATCCCAGGGAGGAGAGAGAGAGATCCAGGAGGGGAAAGTTGCTCTTTTATTTTCTGATAGCCAACTTCCAACCCATTCCATCCTGCACGACAGAAGAGTGCACTTTCTACCAGCTGCTCTGCCCGCCTGTGGGGCACAGTTGTAGGCCTAGGGCTTTGCATGGTCTGGCTGTACCAGGCCCTCAATTCTTTTTGGTGGAGTTAATTCCAGGTGATTTGTTTGAGTTTAAGATTGAGACACTGAATGTTTCCTTAAAGTTTTAAATATGCTAATACTAAAGGCTAAACTTGGAAAATGAAAAAGAAGAAATAGAAAAATAGAGAGGAGAAAAACATCCTTAGCACAGGGTAACCTTCCTGTTGCTGTTGCCAGACCTCAAACTCAAGGCTGCCTCTCCGTCCCAGACAGACTGTACCTTGACCTCTATTTCATGGTTAGAAAGAAGCTTCATAACAAAGAGAGATAACGGCCAGTCCGTGCACTTGTTCTTCACACAGGCAGGGCAGGCCCCCAACATCCCTCGCTGGCCTACTCTCTGCCTGAAGGTGGGATGCATCATCCCAGAGTGGACCTGGAGCCCAGAGCTGTCACTGCTCCCCGTGCCATACAGTCTGTGCAGACCCAGCCAGGCTTTTGTTCCTGGGGAAGGGGGAAGGGGGAAGTGATCTCCCTGTTGAGCCTTGCTGAGGACATCCAAGTTGTCTTTTGTGACAGCTTCCTCACTTTGCTCCAGATTTGGACCCAAGCCTCTGTGCCTCAGGCCCAGCCATTGCTGTGGCCAAATGAGCTCCCACTTCAGTCAGGCCTTGCTGGGCTTGGGTCTGAGTTTCACCATTTACCAGCTGAGGGGCCTTGGGCAGGCTACTGACTCTCAGTTTCCTCAGGTGTCAGGTGGTGGTGAGGTTGGAGAGAGTGGTCTCAGGTGCCCTGTAGAAGGCCTGTTCTGCAGCAGGCTCTCCGGGAAGATGTTTGCACGGGGAGGAATTCCTAAGAGTCTTTGCAGCCTCAGGAGCCAGGCACAACACCGAGCTACAACCTGGTGGGATGGTCTTTCTCTTTTAGTTTAGGTATTTCTTTTTGAACCTTTTCTTCATGTATGAAAGCAATGTGTGATTACTTTAGACATTTTTGTGGAGTATAAAGAAACTGGGAAAAAAAACCTCCCCCTTAACTATAGTTAAGACTGTATTTTAAATACATTTTTATACCTTGATTATTGGTTCAGTATTACAGAGAAAACATTTTCCATGCTGATAAAAGTGCTTCATATATTTTATTATGTAACACCTTGCCTGCTGTTTTATTTAGCCATTCCTCTATTGTTAGGCAGCTAGATTGTCTCCATCTTTTGCCTATCCTAAATAAGGTGAATATTTTATCATACTAAGGTGAATATTTCCAGTGATCCACCTTTGACTTTTGGAGAGTTTCCCTGAGGTGGAATTCTTGGACAAGAAATGTAGAAATGATGAGAGCATTCCAGAAAGGCTGGACCAGTGTGATCTTGTGTGGTGCTGGGGGAGCATCTGGAGGGGGTGTTGAGGGATAGAAGCATGAGGGGTTTGTCATTGTCTCCAGACAACTGCAGTGAGGAACAGATGCTTGCCCCCAGGCACCTCAGAGTTAGGGCTGGTGCGCTCAAGTTTAGTACAAAATATATTGGTGTCTTCAGAGTGCCTGGCTCCTGGGCCCAGCCTGTGGTGCCCTCCTGCTCTCTGGCTGCTGGGCCAGGCACTGCGTGAAGCTTGGATTGCACCTCACACTTTACTGCATTGCCCTTTTTATTTTGTGGAGAACTGAGAGACTCCCACCATCTCTTTTGCCCACCCCATCTTGGCAGGTGGTACAGCTGTTTCTGTAGATGGAGGGAAAAGATAGTCTCCCATCCTGGGCCAGTTACCTCAGCAAGGAGCACCTCGATTTTCTCATGTGGGTTGGGCATTCTGGCTTCTCATCTTATGGTGGTGGCTTCCAGGTGTTGCTGGGGAAGGCGAGACTCAAGCCAGCAGTGTGACAGACCCAGCCAGGAGGCTCAGAAGTGCTTCTCTTCCTCCCAGCACCTGACCCCTCCATTTCCTCCTCTCAGCCCAGGGCTGGCCTCCCCCAGAGTCTGCCTCAGAGTAGACTGTCAGTCTGTATTGAGTAAACTGATTGGAACTGGATTCTATTACATTTAATTGACTAGAAAATCTGTCTTTTTATTCTTAAATAGTTAAGTTTTAATCACACAATCAATTCATGAATTTCCTGTAGCAAAACTGAAACCTTTCAGTTAAGGGAAAAGGAGGCCTGTTGCATCACATCCCATCCTGGCCTCTCATCTAGAGGAGATCCTGTTAATTCTTTTGGGTTTAACCTTCCAAACCCTTGTTCTATGCGCTGTGCTCACAGAAATGCACAGCACTGTTGTGTAAATGTGTGAATGTGTGGCATCATATTCTGAGCAGTGTTTGCACTTTTCTGGCCATGCCCCACATGGATTCTCAGAGACCTTGCCTCATCACTACACACAGAGCTACCACACTGCCTGCCCCCACGTGTGCTCATCAGTGTGGACACCTCATGTCACACATCGCCATGTCCCCACTGATGGACTTTCAGACTGCTGCCCTGTCTTTGTGATTATTCCCTGTGCTGCACTGACCATCTTCTTGTGTACACCTGCACAGCGCTCTCCTGGGAGGTATCAAGAACTCTGCCTCAGACCTGCCCTGGCACCTCCCTGCACTTTTCCCATCCCCCCCCCCCCAAGGTTGTCCCCCTCTCTCCCGATCTCATTTGTATGTCATTGTCATTCCAGACCCAATTCAGATGTCCTCCTCTCTGCTGCCTCCCTCATAATACTTTCATATTCTAATGAAATATGAATACACATCATATTCTAAATATACTTTATACATCTGTCTCCCCAGTGAGTCTGGAGTTCGGAGGACAAGGGCCATGGCTTCCCCCACATCCCAAGGCCAGCACATGGCCTGCCATGGAGTAGGTGCTACATGAGCGTGTTGAATTAAAGCCAGTGGAAGGAATAAGGGAGATGGGCCATGAAGAATGAGTGCTGGGAAAGATGTGCAGGAAGGCATTCCACATGGATAAACAGTAGGGCAGAGGCAGGGAGTGTGCTGGGAGACCAGCCCAGAGCTCTGGAGAGCACTGCACAGATGCAGGAGGAAGGCCAGGGGTGAGCACCAGGGCACCCGGAGCCCTGGCAGGTTTCATTGAGGACCTAGCCTGACCCAGGCTCTGTACTAGGGAAGTGGCCTGGCAGTACATGGAGGAGGGGGCGGCTGCTATGGGTGTCTGAGCAAGAAGTGAGGCCCAGTGACCAGAAAGAGACTGTGGGTGTGAGGCAGGCGAACTCTGGGATTTGTTGGCTCGTGGGCTATGGGAAGGGCGCCCATGAGGAAGGAGCCAAAGGCTGAGGCTTGAACCGTGAACAAGGGCTGGGGGCCACCACAGTTCACTGAGGACTTGGTACTTACAAGGGCTCAGGGAGACCCTAGGCACATGCTGCCTCCTTCAATTTTCACAGAATCCCTGTGGCTAGGACCTGGTACCCTTAGTCTATTGGTGAGGACACTGAAGTCTAGAAGTTACAGAACTTGCCCACAGCTCAGAGCTGGAGCCACAGCTCCAACCTCAGTGAATCTGGCCCCAAGTCCAGCATGCTCACTGCTGACAGTGGGCACCCACAGAAGTGGGCCAGGCCTAAGTGGGGTGGGAGGTGAGTGCAGGGGTGATTCTGGCTCTAAACAGAATCACAGTCTAACAGCCATCTTGTGGAGTAAAAGGAGCCCATGCCTCAAGCCACATGCGCCGTCCAGATGTCAGAATGCAGGTAGGCAAGGTCCAGGCCATGGGATGAGGTGTGGGGTGCAAATTAGATGCCCTGGTGCACCCCAGGACCAAGGAGTGGGCCGTAAGCCCATTGCATGCCTGCCCTTCCAGCAAGTTGTAAGGATAACAATGGAATGTCATAAAGCTCTTGTAGTTTCTTGTCTGTAAGGCTAAAGTTGTAATAAACAGAAATTATGAGCAAAAGAATAAACCTAGAGAGAAAGTCAGTTCTTAGGGTCACCACTGCTTTACATCCCTTGGATTACAAGGGCTTTTATGCCATATTGGTGGCACATAGGGAACTGCCCCTCAGGGGGTGGGGCTGGCCTCCTGGGGCTCCGAGCCTTGTATCCAGTGTCCACTGAGGCCCCACAGCACCGTGCCAGGTGAGAGTGCCTCGCCGTTTTACAGGGATTAACAATGTAGGTGGCATTCCTTTTTCTTTGATCCACCTCAAGAAATAGTGGCAGGTTGAATTTTGAATTTGAAAATACATCCCAGACCTAGCAGCCCCCTTTTGCAGCCACCTCAGTCCCTGGGATTTGGGTTTGGAATAGGATACCCTGTGTCTCAGGAGGCTCGCAGTGGCAGCTCAATTGGATGACTGAGTCCCAGTGTGATCCTTGGCACCCCGCCTCTCACCCTCCTTGCTCACTGTCACAGTGATGATTCTCTTTTCTTCTTCCCTATTTCTTCTTATCATTACTGTCATGGACCCAAATGCCTTCAACCACTCCCCCTCCAGCACCCACGGAGGGAGAGCGAGGCCCAGGCTCAGCTGCTGGGCAGCTTCCCTGGGGCCCCTGTCTCTGCCCTTGGCTTGCTGGTCATACCCTTGTCTAGCCTTGCTGATGCTCTGGTGCCAGCAGCCACAGGCCAGTGCTCCTGCAGGATGTGAGTCCAAGTGATGTTGCCCCTGCACAGCTGCACTGGGGTGCAGGGGATCATCAGTTGAGTGTGACGGACGTTCCTGAGCATGCTCCTCTGTGCCAGGGACGGAGATTAGTGCCACCCAGCCCCACCCCCCCCCACCCCCGCTGATGCTCTCAGTCTGGACAGGAGGCAGGAGCTAAAGGCATGGCTACATAGCAAGTATCGGAGATAAAGTGGGGGTCAAGTGGCGGGGGCTGTGGGGGCCAAGGTGGGCAGGCAGCATGACCTGCTCTAGCTGGAGTAAGGCTGGAAGGACGAGGAGGGGCCTGGCAGTCAGGAAGCCAGCTCTGCCCAGGCACAGGGCTGGGAGGCACCATCGGGCCTCTAGGCCATGAGTTGGACTTGGCCCAAGCTTAGGGTGCTGAGGGCAGTGCTGAGGAGTGCTCAGGAGCCAGCCAGATGGCCACAGGCCTGTGTGCCCATCCAGCAGCCTGCCCTGAGGGGCGGGAGCTGTGGGAGCCACACATAGGAGGGACATGGCCAGTGCTGGGCTTTCATAAACCTGGCTGAAGGACAGGGTAGCCTTGGAACTGTGGGGATCTTTCTGTCCACCTTGGATCCATTCCTTTAAGACCCAGACCCACCTGGGCTCTTTGCTCAGGCCCAGGGCCCACAGGTGAGGTACTGTTCACTGCTCCATGGCGGTGATGGCTTTTCTGGCTCAGCCCTGAAAACAGAGCTGGATCCCTTGGCTTACCTCCCAAGGATTCCTTACCCCCTAAAAAGCCCAGGGATGTCATTAAAAACAAAGTCCCAGTTGTATAGAAAACAGAAGAATCCAGCATTGCTGTAATTCATTTAAAGTTTTATGGGATGGCAAATACTTGGGGTGGCTGGGAGGAGGAGCGTAAAGCTCCCTGGTGAAGCTCCCTGGTAGGCCCCTTGTCACTTTTATGGTTTTCCATTGTTGCAGTGACTGGGAGGTTAATCACGAGGGTTTGTTTGTAAGGTCGCCACAGATGGTCAGGGGCCTTTGCTGGGCCACATGGTAGAAAGCCAGATCATTCCCTTCCTCTCAGAGTGTGCCCCATGTGGCAGGCACTGTGCTGAGGATCGGTGGTGAGCAAAATAAACCCAGCCTGTCTACCTGGGGCTGTCTGCCCGATCCAGGAAACAACAGAGCGCACAGGCACACACTGGACAGATGCTAACAGGTTACGGGGCTTAAGGAGCGTCCTGGTCTGCCTGGAGACTCAGAACAGGTTTTGTGAGCTGGTCGGGGGACCCCTGAGGTCTCAGTGAGTGGGATTCAGCTGGGTACAGGGCGCCACAGGGGTGAGGAGAGCTGGGCAGGGCAGCAGTGTTCCTGTGGGGCTCCAGGTAACACTAGCCACGCTGTGTGCAAGGGCCTTACTGACGCTTGGGAATCCGAGCCCAGCCTGGGCACAAGGGGGCAGGGGGCATCAGTGCATCTCCCCTCTTCCCCGCTTCCTCAGTGCATCTCCCCTCTTCCCCCTTCCTCAGTGCATCTCCCCTCTTCCCCATTCCTCAGTGCATCTCCCCTCTTCCCCCCTTCCTCAGTGCATCTCCCCTCTTCCCCATTCCTCAGTGCATCTCCCCTCTTCCCCCTTCCTCAGTGCATCTCCCCTCTTCCCCCCTTCCTCAGTGCATCTCCCCTCTTCCCCCTTCCTCAGTGCATCTCCCCTCTTCCCCCCTTCCTCAGTGCATCTCCCCTCTTCCCCATTCCTCAGTGCATCTCCCCTCTTCCCCCCTTCCTCAGTGCATCTCCCCTCTTCCCCCTTCCTCAATGCATCTCCCCTCTTCCCCCTTCCTCAATGCATCTCCCCTCTTCCCCCCTTCTCAGTGCATCTCCCCTCTTCCCCCCTTCCTCAGTGCATCTCCCCTCTTCCTCAGTGCATCTCCCCTCTTCCCCCTTCCTCAGTACATCTCCCCTCTTCTCCCCTTCCTCAGTGCATCTCCCCTCTTCCCCCCTTCCTCAGTACATCTCCCCTCTTCCCCCTTCCTCAATGCATCTCCCTTCTTCCCCCCTTCCTCAATGCATCTCCCCTCTTCCCCCCTTCCTCAGTGCATCTCCCCTCTTCCACCCCTTCCCCAATGCATCTCTCATCTTCCCCCCTTCCTAAATGCATCTCCCCTCTTCCTCCCTTCCTAAAGGCATCTCCCCTCTTCCCTCCCCTTCCTCAGTGCATCTCCCCTCTTCCCCACTTCCTCAATGCATCTCCCCTCTTCCCTCTCCTTCCTCAATGCATCCCCCTTCCTTTCTCCCCTTCTCCTCCATGCATCTCCCCTTCCTAAAGAGTTGTGTGTGTCACTGAGCACCTGGCTCACATAGTGGCTGAGGTACATGCACTTTGCCACCCCTAGGAGTTGTGGGTGGGACAGTAGATGTTGGGGAGACTCCAGAGACCCCTTCTAGGAGAGACTTTTTCCTGGTAATTGGAAACTGCACACTAAGATAGCAATGGGTCAGCACACCTTATCTATTAGACTGCAAAAATTTAAAGGCCTGCAGCCTCAGGTGCTGGGGAGGGTGTGGGGAAGAGGTTATTTCTTGTACTGCTGGTGGAAGCGTAACCACCCACTTTAGAGAAAAATCTACAAGATCTAGTAAAACTGAAACTGTGTCCCACAACACCACAGTTTCTCATCCAGATATCTATGCTAGAAAAACCCTATGTATATATACAATTTGATGTATAAAGAAATGGCCACCGTGAAATCATTCTAGTAGTATAAATAGCAACTCACATGTCCATTAAGGGTATGGATAAATGACATATAAAGAAATACTATACAGCTGTCAAAAAAGAATACCATATATATGTTATTGTATGTTTTTTGACAGCTGCATATATGTGTGTATATATACACATGTTATATACACACACATGTGTATGGTAGTATATATATGTATATACACACACACAAATATGAATAGATGTCACCAATATATTGCTGCAGGAGGGAGGCAAGTAGTAAATTAACTACAAACATGGTGCCACTGTTTACACTAATAAGTCTATACAAGTTGAATGTCCCTTATCCGAAATGCTTGGGACCAGAAGTGTTTCGATTTCAGATTGTTTTGGATTTTGGAATATTAGCATGATATACTTAACAGGTTAAGCATCTGAAATCCAGAAATCCAAAATCCAAAGTGCTCCATTGAGTATTTTTTATTTTTGAGACGGAGTCTCGCTCTGTCACCCAGGCGGGAGTGCAATGGCGCAATATCGGGTCACTGCAACCTCCACCTCCTGGGTTCAAGTGATTCTCCCACCCCAGCATCCCAAGTAGCTGGGATTACAGGCACCCGCCATAATGCCCGGCTAATTTTTATACTTTTGTAGAGTTGGGGTTTCACCATGTTGGCCAGGCTGGTCTTGAACAGGTGACCTGAGGTTCCCTCTCGCAGCCCCAGAGGTGGTGCTGGGGAGCTGGGATCTCAACCTGCAGGGGCAGCGCTGGCAGTCTCCAGGGCCCATACTGCTCTGTCCTCATGCACAGCCCTAGGTTTGACTTGTTGTGTGTGAGATGTGATTAAATGCATTAGGCGGGGGAAAATGTCTTATCTGTACCCAGCCTAGGTCGAAGAAGAGGGAGAAATAAGAGCAGCCAAATTGAACCTTATTAAACAAAATTGGTTAGGTCTGATGGAGCCAAACCTAGACTGATCTTTAAAAGCTTATTTCATTTTTCCCCTCCAGCCTGAACCTCTTTGAATTGAAGTAACTGATCCTGCTGTAAGCTTATTAGTGTCAAACCTTGTGTGTTTCTTTTCCTCTCCGATTTACATTTTATTAAGTAATGATGAAGTTGCAAGGTCCCAACCCTAGCCCTTGGCACAACCAGGAGCTTCCAGGCTCATTAGTGGAACAAAATGGATAATAGAGGTCCAATCTTATTATAGCTGGTACATTATTACAAAATCTCTGCACATTAGAAAGGCTGCTAAGCACAAGTCTGTTACCTGCTTCACTCAAGCATCTGTTGATTCTGTAAAATGCTGGAGGGACCCCCCAACACTGCTGTTCCTTTAAAGTTTGTTGTGATGGTGTGGGCTGTCCATTTCTTACCTGACAGAAGGAGTGCCCATGTTAGTGATATCGCTGTGCTGAATTGTGTTTCATCTTGGACTTCTGTGGTGGAGTGTGTTTTTCTGGTGTGATGTAGTAAGAGAATATGTGCTTTAATGACAGGCAGATTGCATGCTTTGAATAAATGTCTTAACCTCTGGGGGCTTCAATTTCCTTGTCTGTAAAGTGAGATCATCATTAGCCACTATCATTAGAAGTGAATGGAATCAGGTGTGTAAAGATTTTCCCCATCATAGGTATCCAACTCTTTCTCCATCTTCCATATCGGCCCTGTGGTAACATAATGCAGCTCGTGTGCACTTCAGTTGAGTGCCTACTATTTCATGCAAGATGCTGTGGAGAACAGAGATGAGCACAGGATGACTCCACCTCAAACTGTTCCTGCTGGATGTTTTCAGTAGCCTCAGAAAGTGCATGGTAAAGGGAAACCAGATCATGCTGGGCACACTACCATGCAGAATCCTCAAAACACCAGAAAGCTAAGTTGAAAGACAGTCGAAAAGCCAGAAGGAGTATCGAGCTCATCGGGCCTGGGAGCAGTCAGAAGGGGGTGTTCATTTGTTCTCTCATCCACTTGATCAGCAAACTGGGCATATTGTGCTACTCAAAAACAGGAAACATGGGAGGTTGGGAGGGAGGGATGCAGCTGAGAGTTAGCTCTGAAAACTCCATGGGCAAGTCCAGCAGGGAGAGGGCTGCTGCTGACCTTCCCCAGGGTAGCTGCTGGCATGAGCTTCCAGGTGAGACAGCCTAGACTGAACCTGCCTCTGCCACATCTGAGTCTCGAGGCAGGCCTGACTGTCCTGGGCTTTGCTTTCTCACCCGAGAAAGGGGGCTCATCTTACTTGCCCATTGGCATTGATGTGAGAGTCACACTGGTGGCGAGGAGTCCCCTGTCTTGAGTCTTCCCTCTCTGCTTCTGCCCCAGGAGCCATCTTTTTGGGCTCAGGCTGTGTGGGCTCTACATGTTCAATCACTCAGGAGCCACAGCTGCCTGCTGCCTGCTGCCAGCACCCTGACTGGCTGAGCCCCGAGTCTGGCAGGGCAGGGTGTGGTTCTGCTCGACTGTCAGAGCTGAGGCCGTGGAACATCAGGCCTGCCTTGCAGTCCCAGCGTTTATCGTCCCAAGTCTCAGCCTATTTGTTTTGTGACCTTGGAGACATCAAAAACCTCTGTTTCTTCATCCATAAAATTGAATGTCAAAATATTGACCTGCCTGTGGGGTTTTTTATGAAGAATAACTGACCCAGAGGATGGCAAAGCTTCTTTGTTAATCAGAAAGGACCAAACTGCTTAGCAAGCACGAACTTGAGTTTTAAAAAGTGTTTGCTTGTTTGATGTGTTCCTCCCTCCCTCCTTCCCCAGAAGTGCTTGGTGCTGGAGGGATGGGAAGGATGTGAGGGAGAGCCTCTGCAATCACCCATGCCCTCTGGGGAGCTAGGCTCAGGGGACGGACCTCCCAGAGGCCACCATGGTGGTATAGGGCAGCAGCACCTCTCCCCATTCCACCTCCCAGCCTTCTCTGCTGCCCTTCTCACTGCGTACCCCGCCTGGGACACTGGGGGCCCCTGGGCAGCAGGCCCCAGCCCTATCCTCCCATTTGGTAGACTCTTTACCCTTGGGGTTTTGTGGATCCTCTGAGGGCCTGGCCAGCCCCAGGACCACCCTGTTCCTGCAGCTGTGAATGTGGAGCTTGGGCCCAGGAGGAGCTCCCCAAAAGAGGGCCCATGTGGCTTGGCTCCTTTCAGTTACTCTTCCCACTTGCATTGAGGCCTCCCACATTCCAGGCATGGCGCTGGGCACTGCAGATAGAAATGGAAAAAAACAAAGCAAAGCCTGGTCCTCATGGAGGTTCCATTCCAGTGCGGGAGTGACAGCCAGTGAACAAAGGGATGCCAAGCGTTGGGAAGCTCTATGATGAAAAACCAAGTGGGCAAGGTGCTAGAGAGTGACAGGGATAGGCCAATGCCTGTCTCTTGCTGGGTGGGGTGACTGAGGAGGGGCTCTGATACAGTGGCATCCAAGCAGGTATGGGAAGGAAGTGAGGAAGAGAGGAACTGCAGGTGCAGAGGCCATGAGGTGGGAGCATGCCTGGCACATTCAGGGAATGGGAAGCAAGGCCCACATGACTGAAGGGATGTGAACAGTGGGTCGGGGTCACAGCAAATAAAGTCAGAGACATCACGGGGGCTGTGTGGCATTGTGAGTCCTGGAAAGGACTTCAGCTTTTACAGAGTGAGATGGGAGGCCAGTGGAGAGCCTGGAGGCAAACCCCAGGGTCACATCATCTGTGTTTTCCCAAGAACAGGAAGAACAGGCTGTGGGGAAGAACAGGCTCTTGGAAGAACAGGCTGCGGGGGAGGGGGCAACAATCCAAGCCAGGTGAGGCTGGGACCAGGGCAGGCAGTGCAGGGACAGGAAGGGGTCAGGCACTGGACCTACTTGGAAGGTAGAGCCGACCCTGTCTCCTGATGGCTGGTTACAGCTACAAGAGGACAAGGAGAGTCCAGGTGGGTGGAAGCCCCAGCTTTTCCCCTGACATCAGAGCGTTGCCCTGGAGAAGCAGAAGGCTGAAGGAGACTTTAGGTTCTGGGCGTAGTAAGCTGGGATGCCTGTCAGCCATTCAAAGAGGCAGTTGGGTGTAAGTCTGTATGCTCCCAGCTCCAGTCTCCACCTCCCCTGGAACTCAGACGTCTGTGTCTCTCTGGCAGCCTCAGAGACAGCTCCTACTTGCAGAACTCCCAGCTCCCCTCCCCTGAAGCTGGCTCCTCCCTGCTCCCACCTAGCATGAGGCAGATCCTCAAACTAGAAACCTGGGAGCTGTTCTTTACACATCAGCTGTTCTTTACACACCAGCTGTTCTTTACACACCAGTCTCTCCTTGTCCCCACATCTAGTCTGTCACCACCAAAATATGTCTTGAACTCTGAGTATCTTCCTTGCTAATTTCCATGTTTCCTTTCTTACTTCTCTACCTCCCCTGAATCTATTCCCCAAACTGTATAGCCAGTTTGCATCTTTTAAAACCGCAAACTGGCAGTGTCATTCCTCTGCCATCCCCTGTGCCCCATCACTGGTGGCTTCCTGGTGCTTTGTCCCATGGCAATGGTGGCTGGCCCATGTCTCCAACCTGCTGCCTCCCTGGACCACCGCACCTCAGCCAGCCCTGCCACCCGCAGTTCCACTGGGGGCCTGGTTCTTCCCCTGCCCAGGGCCTTAGGCCTGCTCTGCTCTTCCCTCTGCCTGGAATCCCTGTGGGTGGTTTGTTACCGATCTGGTCTTGGCTCCAATGCCACCTCCTCAGGGAAGTCCTCCCTGACTACCCACAATGAATTAGGTCTCCCAGTTGTTCGCTCTCATACAGCCTCATCCTTTTTTCTCACAGTACCTCCCACAGTTTCATAATTCCTCATGTATTCAGTGGTGATCTAATTAACATCTTTCTTCTCTAGAAGACAGCAGACTTTATAGAACCCAACTGTCTAAAACTATCTGTTTTGCTCGTCCTGCTGGCATTCCAGAGCCTGGGCCTGGTCCTGAGAGAAGGTTGCTACCCACGTGTTGAGAGAATGTGCGTGCGCCACCTCAGCTGCGCCCCGTGGACATTAGCGAATGTTTGAGGAGTGAGTTATTCAGTAGATGGAGAGAGGCCCTCAAAGTTGGCTAGAAGATAAATGACTAAAAGGAAAGCCTGTTTTTCTCATTCTTAGGTTGGTAAAATTATCTACTTTTCTTTATCTCTGGTGTTCTAAATGGGTCTTCTGTTCCGAAGCGTCCCTCAGTGAGCGTGGGCTCACTGACCACCCCGTGTGGCAATGCTGTCTGCATGCGCCTGTGAGAACCCATGGGAGTGCCATGCTGCCCTGTCCCCATCTTTATCTGCTGCACAATTTCCTGTCTAGGCCCTTAAAATCTTGATTTGCACAGTTATTTATCTTTGTGCTCTTCATGGTGCCCTGGTAAGGCATTCTTTATGATTTCAGTCCTGAGAACACAAGCCCTGTTGAAAAGAGAACATGCTTTGAATAAAGCCTGCTTGACGTTCGGCTTGATGGGGAGGAGGAGGGGGAAGGGGCATCAGGGCAGCATGAGGCCCCTGGCCGCCCTCTCTCACAGGAAGGCTCATAAACACAAGGATCTCGCTCAAGCCCCGGCACGTCTGGAATCTCAGCTCGGTGCTTTGCCAGGTATGATTTTGCCACAAGGGGCATTTCTTTTCCAGAATCTGATGCAGTCACTCTCTTCAGAGCGGCTGGGCGTTTATCTGGACCTGTCACAACCAGGTTTCTCAGCAGCTCCTGTGCTGGGCACTGAGGACGCAGCATAGGGAGAGCACAGTCCTTGTCTCGGGATTTAGAAGGGAAGAGATGCACATTTGATAGGCCAAAATTAAGAAATCTAGCAGTGCCAAATGTTGGAGCAGACGTGTATCAATGGGGTGTCTTGGGCCTTATTGATAGAAGTTGATTTATCTACCTAGCAAAGTTGAACAGCCATTCACCCTGCAATCCAGCAGTTCAACTCCAGGAACTGTGTCCTTGAGAAGCCCTTGCACATGTGCCCATGCAGGATCCTTGTGACAGAAGAAATTCATTGCAGCATTTTCCAGCAAAGAACTGGAAACACCCCCAGTGCACATCGATAGGAGTCCAGGTTGTGCTAAATACACAAGGTGCAGCAGATGGCATCGGCAGCAAATGAGCTGCAGGTGCATGCACTATGTGCACAGGTTTTTAGTATCATAACTGGCACAATGCCTTATTCATACAGTTCAGAAACTTATACAACAAAGCAAATTACTGATTAGGAATGTGTACTACATATGTAGTGAGCCTTTACACAATCATACACACGTGTGTATAAAAAGAAAGGGAATGCTGTGCGCCAAATTCAAGGCAGCGGCACCCTCCCGCTGGGGCAGGTGGGAATGCTGAGTGGGGAGGACCACACAGGTAGGTATGAGTTATCGATAATGTAGTTCAGGGGCGGAAAGGGCAATGAACTCATGGGTGTTTCGTATATAATTTAAATCTGTCGGCACACAGAGGCTGGGGCTGACCTGTAAAGTAGTGGTAACCAAACAGTGAGTCAGGTTCCGATGGTCAGCTGTGTCTGGAGTTATCAGAGAAGCCCTTCTAGGAGGTCCATGGGAGCAGGGGTTAGGGACGAATGGGAATTTGCCAGTGGAAGAAATCCCAGGGAGCAGCCTCAGGGGCAAAGCACAGAGACATTCAGAAGCACAGCATTTACAAGGATTCATTCAAGAGTCCCTTGGCTACGTTTTCAGGGTTGGGGAGAATGTGGGGCCGAAAAGGCTGTGGAGTTGGGCTGCATGGTGGAGGCTTCCTGGTGGCTGAGCTAAGGAGTGGGGGCTCAGCCCTGTGAGTGAGGCTTTTCAGCAGATTGCCTTGTGGGGCGGTGGAGGGGGTACCAGGAGACCGCCACCCATCACAGGGAGTCCCCATAGAATTCCAGCTGACCAGAGGATCTTCCTGCTCGTGGCAGGACCATGACAAGCTTTGAAAGCCATGAGGTAGACGATGGGAGCCCACAAAGGAGGTGGTGACAAACAATTGCTTTATCAGAGAAACATTTTAGAAAGCCGCACAGGCTGCTGCAGGCGCCTGGGAGGGAAGAGTTGTGACCTGGGCCCCACCTCACTGGGCAGACGACGCTTAGTGTAAGGTGATATTCTCCAGTGACTCTGAGTAATGTTCCCAAAAATCTCATTCTCCTATTGCCTTTTCAGACCATTTCAGAGATGTTTTCTGTTTCTTTGTGATTGATCTTGGCTGTGGCTTTTGACACTGTGCGTCTCACTTTCTCTGCCCCCTGACCTCTGGTTAGGTAGTTAATGATCTTTAAACAAACACTTGAGTATTATGGCTCTCCAGGAAAGGTCCTGGGCTCATGGGCCATTAGCAACACACTCTCCCTTTATCCAGGGAGAAAATGAGTGTTCGTACACCCTGACTCGGTAGACAGGGATGCTTGCAACCTAAGTGTCAAAATTCTCTTTAGTTTAACTATTTTTGATGGCAGGTCTTCTGAAATATGTTACATATTTCTCTGCTTCAAATCCATGAACAGTTTCCTCTCATCTCAGAGACAGTGGATCATAGGTAGGAATGTTTGTTCATTTCAGGAACTTTTATTGGAGACTTTTCTATGTCTGTTCCTGATTTACAAACTGTGAATGCAGAAATCTGCCCAGTATAGTAGTCAGTGATATTTTAGAAACAGAGATAAGATCAGGTTACTCCTTTGCCTAAACTCCTCCAGTGACTTCCGGGCCTTGCACTCTACTGTGGGGCCCGAGCCTTGACCTCTGTGTTAGTCCGTTTTCACGCTGCTGATAAAGACATACCCAAGACTGGGTAATTTATTTTTTAAAAAAAAGAGGTTTAATGGACTCACAGTTCTGCGTGGCTGAGGAGGCTTCACAATCATGGTGGAAGGCGAAAGGCACGTCTTACATGGCACCAGGCAAGAGAGAGAATGAGAGCCAAGTTAAAGGGGTTTCCCCTTATAAAACAATCAGATCTAGTGAGACTCATTCACTACCAGTATGGGGGAAAGCACCCCTACAATTCAATTATCTCCCACCAGGTCCCTCCCACAACACATGGGAATTAAGGAAGCTACAATTCAAGATGAGATTTGGATGGGGACACAGCCAAACCATATCAGCCTCCCTCCCTGCTGTCTCCCTCCCCACCCTTGCTGTAGCCCTCCTGCCTCGGTGTATTCCCAGACTCACCAAGCTACTGCCCTCTTAGGGCTTGCACTTATCAGTTGCCCCATTTAGAGCTGTCTTTCTGTGGGTCTTCACACAGCTGTCTGCTTCTTATGCTAAGGTCTTAGCTCAAATTCACTTCTTCGAGACCTTTACCCCACCCAGGCCTTCTCTATCACATCACCTGGCCTTGTTTTCTTTATAGCATATGTTGTCTAATATAGTCATATAATATTAATGTAGATTAATATTATATAATTATATTAATATATATTTGCATGCATGTAATTTATATATTAATTTTATATTGATATGAATTGAATTAATATATATAATTTTTCCTATATAGGTAATTTTGTTGTTGCTGTTGTTTCAAGATATTAAGCTCTTTGGAAACAGAGGTCACTGTATTTCTTCCCCTAGAACAGTGCCTGGCACACAATAGGCACTCTGGGAATATGTGTTGAATGAATGAAGAGAGATCCTGCCCTAGGCTACCCACAAGCCAGCAGGCAGCAGATACACAATAGACAGTGACCATGCAGCAGGCTGTGGGATTCAGAGGGGCTGGGTTACCACTAAGGAGTCAGGGTCAAGTTCTGCCACTGGGAGTTGGGACAGGCTTTCCAGAGCAGTGGTGTTTGTCCCGGGCTTTAGAGGGCAAATGGGCACAGCTTGGCCAGCTGAGCAGCTGGGGAGGCCATTCTTGGGGGAGGAGGCAGGCAAACCTGGACAGAGGGCTGGAAAATGCTAGCATGATTGATGGAAGGGAGGAACTTGGAGGGACTGGAGCCTGGATTGGAGCAGGGGTGAAGGGAACTAAGGTAGTCAGGGATTTGGCTGCTATGACCCCTGCCTTTCCCCCAGAAGAACAGTGAGACTTGGAGAGTGGGGCCCTGGCCCTGCTTTGCTGGCGGCCCTCGGCCTTGTGCTTTCAGTGTGGTACCTGCTCTGGTCCAGAAGAGTGTGCCTGGGCCCCAGACCCCCCTTGGCTGGTCCTCACGGTGCCTGCAGGTGGTGGTAAGCACAGGATTCTCTAGCTGCAGCTCCCCTCTCCTCCCCACAGCCCCGAGGCTTGTTGGTTTCATGTGCTCTCTTGCTTACTCCCCATCAGGTGGTGAAGAAGGTGAAGTCCATGCAGATGTTCCACATGCCCATCACTTCAGCCATGCAAGGAGACCGGCTGGGCATCTGCGTCACCCAGTTTGACCCTAAGCTGCTGGAGCGCGGGTTGGTGTGTGCCCCCGAGTCCCTGCACACTGTCCATGCGGCCCTCATCTCTGTGGAAAAGATACCGTATTTCCGGGGGCCCCTGCAAACCAAGGCCAAGTTCCACATTACAGTGGGCCATGAAACAGTCATGGGCCGGTTGATGTTCTTCAGTCCTGCTCCAGATAACTTTGACCAGGAGCCTATACTGGACTCTTTCAACTTCTCTCAAGAATACCTTTTCCAGGAGCAGTACCTGTCCAAGGATTTGACACCAGCAGTGACAGACAATGATGAGGCCGACAAGAAGGCCGGCCAGGCCACAGAGGGCCATTGTCCTCGGCAGCAGTGGGCCCTGGTGGAGTTTGAGAAGCCCGTCACCTGCCCTCGGCTGTGCCTGGTGATTGGCTCCAGGCTAGATGCGGACATTCACACCAACACGTGCCGGCTAGCCTTCCATGGCATCCTGCTCCACGGGCTAGAGGACAGGAACTACGCCGACAGCTTCCTGCCCAGGCTGAAGGTGTACAAGCTGAAGCACAAGCATGGCCTTGTGGAGCGGGTGAGCATGCCCTTGCCTGGCCCCACACCCCTTCCCTTCTTGCTCGGGCAGCTGGGATCCATGGCCTGACATCTGTGATGAGAGCCAGAAAGGCCCTCAGAGACCTTCTGGTGCCAACCTCTGTAGTTTCTGTACAAGGCATCTGATGCCCAGAATGGTCAGGTGGCCACAGTTCTCTCAGCTGGTCAGTCACAGAGCCAGGGCCAGCACCTGGGCAGGGGGACCCCCACTGTACCCAATCCCACCCAGCTATCCCACCCCCACTTATTTACATGGTAGATGTGGCACCCATGGGTCTGAGCAGGTCTGGGCTCCCCCACAGCCAGTGTCAGATGGCAGCGGTTAGCACTGGCTTCCCTGGCCTGCTGCCCTGATCAGGCCCCACTCTCTTGACCTTGGTGGGCACTGTACCTCCATCCAGCTGGGATCTGCCCATGTGCCCCTGCAAGCTGCTTATGTCCAGAGGGAAACACTGCCCATCAGTGGTGCCAGGCCAGGTCTTTCCTCACCTGTGGACTGAGGGGAAGGGGCTAATGGTGGCCAGGTCTTTCCTCACCTGTGGACTGAGGGGAAGGGGCTAAGGGTGCCAGAGAGCAAGAGGAAGGAAGGTACAGGAAGCTGACACAGTGGGAGGTCCAGCCCCTGGCTACCTAGGGTGCCTGAAGTTCACCATCGCTAGATGCAGGCCTTAGGCATGTAGGTGAGCCAGTCTAGTTGAAGTAGGATGAGGCCCTGGCTGTGCCTTGCTGGGCGGCCCTTGGCCTTGTGCTTTCAGGGTGGTGCCTGCTCTGTCCCAGGAGACTCTGACTGGGCCCTGGGCCTCCCTCGGCTGGTCCTGTGGTGCATCAGCACCTGGGCCCAGTGCTGGGTGGGATGGGCCTGCCACTAGGGTGGACAGAACACGGTGGTCTCCCCCAAAGTAGTGGAATCACCTCCTCCCATGGGGCATCCATCCCCAGCAGCTGTCCACACAGTGCTGAGTGGGAATCCATGCCCATCGGGCCTTGAAGGCAGGATGGATGGACAGCCAAACCTTGCCGTCTCTTCTAGAAGGCTAGCTCCCTGGCTGTGGGTCCAAGCGGATCAGCAGCAGCTGTACTGGGACATGACTGGGCTTTGACTGGCTTAAAGAGCACGGAGTGCTGGCAACCCCACTGTCGGGGGCTCAGGCTCCTAGCAGGAGGGGTCTGCCCTGAGGCTTTCAACAAGGGCCTCAGTTCCTCACAGGAGCCTGATGAGGTCCCCTGGGTTTAGTGCAGGTGCCAGCACAACATCTGGCCCATCCACGGTGTCACATGTGGTGGGCTTCCATCGCCCACCCTCCGCTCCAGGTCTCCGTCCACAGGTTTTCTCCTCTGGGAGAAAATCCACTGGTTTTCTCGTCTGGAATTCTCTGTCACTGCAGCCCCTTCCCCTCCCTTTCTCCTTGTCTTAGGTTCTTCCTGGGTGCTCCACCCTGGCCCTCTTCTTTTCCTGCCCCTGTACCTAGACCTGCCCTCAAGTGGGGGACTGAGGAGCAACCCCTTCCTCTCCCTTCCTCAGACCCAGAGCTTGGACCCTTAGCTCCGGGGGGGCCGCTGGGGCCTGCTCAGGGCTCCATCAGCCTTAGGCCAGCCCCAAGATGCTGATTGAAGATGAAGGTGATAAAGTGTGTGTCACTCGTTTGTCTAGCCTGATTTATTAGCAGTGTTTGGAGTATAATTATTCTATAGTAAAATATCTATGAGAGAGTAATATCCCAATTGGTGTGGCTCCTGGGTCTAATTGCTCCCACTCAGGCCTGTCAACAGCGGTGCAGCAGTCACTTCCTTTGAGAACTGGGAGGGAGGGTCTGTGAGGAGCAAGTAAACATATGGCCTCAATGACTCATGCCTCCGAAGGGCTGAGGGAGGGGCCAGGAGACATGCCTGGCCTATGTCCTTCCACCAACCTGGGGCCACCAGCATTTTCCTGCTCAGTCCAGGGAGGCTGGAAGTGGAAGCACAAGAACTGTAGGCAGTCCACAGAAGCTGAGTCCAAATCCCATATAGACAACCCTGAGCAGAGACAGGCTTCCTCCAACCAGGGACAGCCTCACAGGGTGACTGTGGATGTGTGCAGAGGTGAGATCCTATGAGCCCAGGGCTTTGGTCGAGGAAGAAGGCCTTCCTGAGGCTCCACAAGGGAGGAAAGGGCATGGGTGCCCAGGCTAGGAGCAGCTCCCCCAACTCGCAACCCCCTGAGGCTCTAGCTGAATGGGCACCTGCCTTAATGCTAGGGGCTGGCTGTAGGCTGGGGCTTCTGTGCCACATGCTCTCCTCTGGGCCCCAGGGCAGGAATGAGCCTGCCTCCTGCCTCCCTCCACTCTGTCACCACTCTACTGATTAAGCATATACTATGCGCCTTTACTAGCTACATACTTTATTTTGAAACCGTTTAATAACCCTGAGGAAGAGGTCATTATTTTTCCTATGTACATTTTTCCCCAATTAAATCAATCAAATTATGTGCAAATATTTAGGAAAAGTAATATATGCACATGGTAAAAAATTTCAAACAAGACAATAATTATTCAGTGTAAGGAAGTTTTCTTCCTACGAACCCAGGTCCCCTCCCCAAAGGCAGCCAGACTGGAAACCAGCCCAAGAAATGTGAAGTGACCTGCCCAAGGTCACAGGGTAGTAAAGCTGGAGTTTGAACTCAGGACTAGCTGGTCTCTTTTGAGTCATGAAATTTCCACTTTGTCAGACAGATTCTTGCCCAGTGTGTCAAAAGAGTCTGCGTTCTCTTGAAAAGCTCGAATCTCCTTGGTGGGAGACTTTCCTTCCTGGTAAGGTGGAACTTGGAGATCATACAGAGTAGGCTCAAGCCCTTGCTGTACCCAAAACAGCTGTACGCCTTGGGCAGCCATTTAATCTCAATTGTTCATTCCTTCGAAGGATGGTCTTGACCTCATCAGGTTGTTTTGAAAGAGCCACCATAGCTTGTGGCTTCATATGTAAGAGCCGACTCTCATCAGGTGAAGCAAGAAGGTAGTGTTCCTGTTGCAGCTCCTGAGTGATTGGCTGAGTTTGTTCCAAAGGGGCAGCCCTGTTTGCTTTGAGTAGGCCCCAGATCACCCAGAGATTTTCAGGTCATCTTGCTTGACCAGGGGCTCAGCCATCCGACAGACTGGTCCAATGTGCAAGCCTGGGCTTTATTTACTCCCAGCCTTACCACCTGCTAGTGTGAAAAGTTGAGCAGACCATGAGACTTCCATGTTAAGTGGGAATTTTCACAGTGCTGCACCAGGGTTAGATGAAGGTGAGATGGGGGATTGCACATAAGGTTCTGAGATCAGTGCTTGTCTCCTACTGCATCGTTATTGTTTTATCATTATTAATGTTTAAGCTCTTAGAGTCAAAATAATAATGCCTGGAGCGTGGGTCCACTCTTTTCCCTGGGACTCCATTATTTCTCTTTGAAGCACAGGAGCCAATCCCCCTGGTCCCTATCAGGAGCCACACAGTTTTGGTTGAAGAGGGAGGGGCTGAGAGTCTGGTAGGCTCATGGGTGTGGTTATCCAGCGCAGGGGCCAGAGAAGTGCCCTATGCTCTTCTTTCCCCACCGTGCTTGGCTGACTCTAAAAATTCCTGGGCACATCACAGTTACTAGTCAGCTTTCTGGACATGTCTATTCAAAGAAGTTTCTGGAAGATCAGAGAATCTTGAAAAGGTGAAATCCAGTCTCTTGGGCAGAATCTCCACCACCTTGGTGAGCCAGCACCCAGCCTTTGCTCTGTGATTCGGGGCAAGGCCAGCACATCTACTTTGCAAGCACAGTTAGCCTTCTGAGAACCTGGGCTTGGGTCTCTGAGCTATCTCAGTTCATCACAAAGGGAGACCCTGGCACTATACCTATGTGTTAAGTGAGCACTTTCCGCCAGGGGGGCTTAAGGCATATAGGCCTTCTGATCCCATTTCCTATAAAGGCATCCTTCATTCATATATTCGGATGTTTACTGTGCTCCTACGTTTGTGCCAGGCACTGTGCATACAACAAGATAGACAAAGTTCTTGTCTTCCTAGGGGAGGCTAGTAGTGAACAGTAAATTAGACATTTTCAGGTTATAATAAGGTCTAGAAAGAAAATAACAGCGTGATGTAAATATGTGATGCTGAGGACAGTTATTGAAACACAGAAGATGCTAATTTCCAAGCCTCTGCAGACTGTGTTTTTATTTCCTGTGCGTCTGCATCACTGGCTCACACTGGAAGCTGGTCAGGTACCCTACCAGTTGTGGCTTAACTCATTAGTATTACATAGAGCAAACTATGGCCCATGGGCCAAACCTAAACAACTGCTCTTGCTCCAAATCTAATAATCTTAAACAAGCTTATTTTCTCTGGATTCTTCTTTCAGCTGCTTCGATCAAACACAATTTAATTAACTTACCATTGGTAAATGGCTTTCCTTGCTTGGCTAACAAATGAGCCACCCGGAAACCTACTTTGGTTGCAGCCTTATTCTTATTTTTTATTGTTTTGCGTGTCTGCTATGATGAAATATACTGTTTTAAGTTTTCTCTTTTTTGACATTGTTTTTCTGTGAGATGGGAATATCGTGATGTCAGTGTATCTCATATTCTGTTAACACAACTAATAACAAACACAGTACTTTGCCATGTAATGTGATAAAATAATAATCCATACCCACTGCGCCTTAAAAGTGTGACATTTGAAGTCCACTTTTCTTGTTTTCATGTGATGGGTATGCACCAGTAATAAAATAAATAAATAAATAAAATGTGTCACTGGGTGAGGTACTGCAAGTTGTAACTATGTTACCACCATCTGTAGTTTACTGAGCACCTCATCAGGTCTCAGACTCAGCTACTCAACTCTGCCACTGTGACACAAAGGCAGCCATAGACAATATGTAAACAAATGGGCATGACTGTGTTCCCATAAAACCTTTTGTTGTGAACATTGAAATTTAAATTTTATATAGTTTTCACATGTAACAAAATAATATTCTTTTGATATTCTCCAACTCATTAGAAAATATAAAAACCCTTCTTAGGTCACAGGCCATACAGAAACGTATCAGGAAGAATTTGACCCTTTGGCTATAGTTTTCCAACCCCTAATATAAATGGTTAATAGGGCTCTTGAAATAGAATGAGCACCCTGCGAGGAAAATGCTAATAATTATCTGCAGCTGAAAGCATTAAACCCTCTCAGCAGTCCTTAGGAATTGGGCTTTTTCTTGGGTGCCCACTGTCTCTGTGCTAACACTGGGATGCATATACTACTTTATGTGCTGTGTTTTTTATTCTTGGATACATTTGATTTTTTCACATAAGTCCACGTGTACTTCTATAAGAGTGTGACTTGTAATAAAGGGTTAATGAAGAAAAAAAAAAAAGAAGAAGAGGGAGCTTGGATTGGTAGAGACATCCAGAGGTCTCACCTGAGTGGGAGAAGAAAAGAAGTGAAAGTGTTCTAAATGGCTAATCTTTCTGGGGAGAGGGTTTAGGAAAGACTACTAGAGCATATGGTGATAAGGGAAATAGTTGGTATCCTGTTTCAAAGTAAAAATATAGAAATATGTGCAAGATTTTGAGTACAGAGAAAGGGAAAGAAACTATATGAATGCAGTGAAAATGTAATAGCACTTTCACATTCTCAGAGGAGAAACTGGAATGAATTTGATTAAACCAACAAAAATAAGGAAAAAAGAACAATGTTAATAAATAATAATAATAACAGAAGGAACAACATTAAGTATCAGTCATTACACTAAATGTGAATGGCCAAATTCTATTTAAATGCTAACGCTGAGAGATTGGGTTAAATACTGACAAAGGTAAAGAAGGACATCATGTAACGATAAAAGGCTCGGTTATAAACTTGTACATACCAAACATAAAAATAAAACAGTAGAAACCTAGGGACAGCTTGATAAAAGATGGAATTATAATGATAGGGTGGCACTTCAGAGTCCATATTTTAAAATCAGGCCTACTAGACATAAGGACAACGAGGCAGAATATATTCAATAAGCTTGATTTTTAGATAAATGTAAACTCTTACACTCCTTGAATAGAGTATACATTTTTTTTCCTATGGCTTGGAACATTTACAAAACTAAATATTCAGCAGTTGACATTAAACAAATATTTGTAGAACATCTACTGTGTGTTGTCTTAAGGGCTAGGGAGGTAACAGTGAATGAAAAAGACAAAATCTCTGCCCACATGGAACTTAGATTGTAGTTGTATTTGTGGCCACAGAGAAAAAACCCTAATAGATTTTAGAAAGTAAAATCATGAACCACTAAAATGAGAAACAAAGCAGTTATATATAGATATAGGCAGATATGGAGAGATACAAAGTGTGCATGCGTGTGTGTGTGTGTGTGCGTGTGCGTGTGTGTGTGTGTGCGTGTGTGTGTGTGTGTTCATTCTTTCACATATTCTAGTAAATTGCTCCTCATTTGATTAAGGCTGTTTCTCATACTATCATAGAATGTTGAATCTTAGTAATAAAATTTTTCTCTTTTTCAGTGTTCTTTCAATCTTTTGATTACTTTGCAGAGAAAGCTTTAGATTTGTTCAAAGATGTCTTTAACAGTCCTCTATTACATTCTAACCTGCTTTTTAACAAATGGAAAACAAGACCAAGATTCCAGAGCCTTCTAGTAGCAATAGTATGTAACTAGGATTATTCTTTGGGGGTTTTTTTGCATGGTATGTACTTTTACTATTAGCTTCCTCTGTTTATGGTTAGTGACTCTTTTCTTTAGGATACTATATAAAGTCTCCTTTCCAGGCAGATGTAAAGAAATATATTAGGTAAATAGTAGGTCGGGTATGCAAAGATCTGGCAAAAATGATGTGGGGTGAAGGATGTGTAAAAGCCGAGGCTGGAACCACTGGGTCCTGTCCCCAGGAGGTTACTTGCATCTCAGCCACATGCAGATTCAGACCAGCTGCTCCTCCTTTAGTGATCCAAAGCCTCATAGAAAACTGGGTCTTTCTAGTGGAGGACAGAGACTCATGCCTGCATCAGAGGAATATGCAGAGGGCTAGGAGAGGAAACAAGGAACTCTGCCAAGGTGGGAGGAAGTAGGCTGGTGAGGGAAAAGCACAAAATGGTGACCTTTTAAGTGTATCTTGTAAGACTGGAAGGTTCACTGCACAGACACTAGGGGCCATGTGGGGAAACAGGAAGGTGGAGGAGGGGCATTCCAGGTCCAGGGACTGCTTCTGTAAAGCATAGAGGCCAAATAATGCCTGGCCCTGGGCATCTGGGAGGGCAGGGACAGGGAGCTTAAAGAGGCAGGCAGGGCCAGCCATCGAAGCTAGGCCCTTCACCCTGCAGGGGGGAGTAATGCAGGTTGGGGGCTATGGGGGGTGTTCTAGGTCACCTGTGCTAGAGAAATCCTTGGAGCAGGGCCGGCCCAGGCAGCCTAGAGAGGGGAGGCTCAGCCTCTCTCACCTACCCTTCTGTATCCCAGTCTCGCCCTGAGGCTCTGGGCACCTGGTCGTCTGGAGCCGCAGAGCTCAATGGTCTGGGAGCCACTCACCCTATGGAGCCAGGCTTCTCCACTAGTAACAAATCATGACTTTTCAGGACTGTGTGAACATGAAGGAGGAGGTGAGGGTCTGGTGCTTAGGACAGTGAGTGCTCTGCAATACCTGCTGGCTTCCACAGCAGACTTCTCACTGTTACCACGCCCCAGGATGCCCTCCTCACCTCCCCAAGCCACCACCTTCTCATGGGTCTCACCATAGCCCTCTTTGCCCCTGGCAGCATGCATAGCTCCACCCCAGTAATTTTCTGCAAAACAAAGGGGGTCCTGCCAGCTCTTACTCAGAAATCTCTTTTAGGTCCACACCACCTGCAGGACAAAGACAATACCCAACCTTAGCATGTTAGCTGGCTGGCAGTTGGGTCCCAGGACATGGCAGGTATATGTGCTATATGTAACATGCTGAGTACTCCACCTGGCACAGAATGGGCCCTGGGTAAACAGTGGGTATCATCAGTACTATTTATTTGGACTTTCCTCTGGAAATGCAGATGCCTGGGTTCCCAGCTAGGGTGATAGCAGACACCATCCCCCTTCCACAGTGGTGGGATAAGGCCAGGTGTGCCAGCCATCCTGGGTCTGGCACCCACTGGCGCCGGTCAGGGAAGGCCTTAGGGCTGGGCCACAGGAGCTGGCAGCATTGGCCCAACCAAGTGTAAACATGCAGACGCCATCAGGAGCACTCGCCAGCTTTGAAGTCTGAAGCGGCGCTGCCTCCTGGCTCCTGGCTCTGCCCCACTCCACTGCTGACGGCTTGTTAAATGTGCCCAGGGCACCAGGGAGCGTGCTGGCCTGGGGTGCAGGCTGGCTCATGACCTGCCTCTGGCACAGCTTGGGCCCCATCATTCTCAGCAGGGATGGTCTGGCAGGCTTGGTGGGCCCTAGCGGGTCAGCTGCAGGGCCCCTCGCCCTTGCAGGAAGCCATGCTGTGGTCTAGCTGGCCACTGAGCCTGTTCTGCTGGCCCTCGCTCCCCTGGGTCCCTGCCAGAGGGTTGAAGGCCACATTGGCTCCCAGGCTACTTGAGAAAACAGAGGTTCCCCTGAAACAGAGGTTGAGAAGCTCTTTCCCCAGGGAGATGATCAAATGGCTGCCCTGGTATTCTGGTCCCAGCCCAAATCCTCAGCGTTTCTTCTGACTTCCAGTATCAGGCTGTGATAGCTAAGTGTCTTGCTTGGCTGCTGGAGTGCTTGTTCACCTTCCTTTGAAAATTGCTTTTTTGCCCATATAGAGACACAGGGTCAGGACAGCTTGATGTGCTGGAAAGAGCCAGTTCTGGAAACTGATGGACTGAGCTGGGCACAAGCTCGATGTGGCCGTGGGCAAGTCACTCTCCCCCAGAACCTGTTTCTTCTTTAAGAGCTGGTCAGGCGTTGATGAGACCTGGGCTACTTCAGGGCCTCTGCTCTTCCCACCACACCAGACCATGGCCTGCATTGAGGAGGAGACACTGTCCGTGGGGAAAGTTTTCTGATGATACTGGAACAACACCATCATCCTAGGTCCCCTTCCAGAATTTGTCAATCCTGGTGGCTTTCAAGTGGCCTAGAAGAGTTAACACCGCATTTTTAAGGGACTCATCCATGATCAGGCAGCCTCTGAGTTCTTCCCATTCCTCATTGGATCCAAGGACTGCTGGCTTCTGTCCTCCGAGAAGACTTTGCTGGTGGGGTGGGTAAGAGGGAGAGAAGCAGAGAGCTGTGGGCAGCTCCAAGCATGTGGTTGGTGTTGAGTACATGTTCTGTTCTTCTGGCTTCTCTTGGGCAGATTAGATAACTGGATCTTGTGATTTCTGTGCATCTGAGATCTCCTGCACCAAATGCTGTCTTATTCTTCTGCTTCTCCCACAATTTGACATCCACTAATTGAGATTCTTTCCTCTGGGTCATCCATTCTCTGTCAAGTCTTAGGTGTTATCATCAACATCAACACCCCTGATCCTAACAACAACCTTTTTCAAGGAGGAAACTGAGTTTCAGAGAAGTCCCTCGCTCAAGGTCATAGAGCTGTAAGAGGCAGAGTCAGAAGTCAGGCCTCCCAAGCCCTTCCTGTCCTGCGCACGTGGTTCTCCTCACCACAGACCTGGAATCGGCACAGGGCTCCATTTCATGGCACGTTTGCCTGCCTTCCTTCGTATCACTTCTACAATTTGAATTAGAATGGTCACTTCACAGCTTGGGCAATTCCCAAGCCTCATCATGGGAGCCAAGCCCTGAAAGAGGGACACACACACGTGTAATGACATAATTATATGCACCGGCAGCCAAGTCCTTGCTCAAAGGCCAGGGACAATGGGGACCCACCTGGCGTGTAAGCAAGCGCCTGGACTTCCATGTGCACAGTGACTGCTCCTCAGGAGCTCAGTCCCTCCAGTGACTGAAGGCTAATAAATAGAGCAAATTATTCATGCAAACAGTGAGAATCCCCACTTAGCGCCATTGTTGTAACTGTGCTGGCCTGGATTCAGGACTGTTCCCTAGAAGCAAGGCCTATTGAGCAGATCCCACATGCGTTGCCTTTGGTTTGACGTCACAATGATTGATTTCAAAATGAAAACCCTCCAACTGTTCTCTGAAGGTCTTTCCTCATTGGATGTGCTTGTGTCTGATCTCTGAGGTCTCTTTCCTTTAGCTGGAAGAATCTATAATTTGGTGAAGAACCCAACCATCACACATGCATGCACACACCTTCTAGTGATGGACAGGACAGAGCAAAGCCATGTTCCCCCATCCTCACCTCCTGACACTCAGGACAGATCATGACCCCTGGTCTTCCTGAAGTTCTCCAGAGATGTAGGCCTCACAGCATCCTGTAGGAATGTAGGAGCTGTCTCCCTCTTTCTAGCCAGACTTCCTTCTGATTAAATGAGGTTTCATGCAGCTGACAATCACTGAGTCCTTGCCCCCAGTACACACAGCAGTAATTTCCGGAGGTGTAGGTTTTGGAGATGCAAAAATGTGCTCAGACCAGCTCCTGCCTTCCAGGACTGCCTTCCTCCCCTCCCCGCATCCAGCTGGTGAGGCTGGCGTAGACAAGCCACTGCTGTGCTGAGAGACAGGCACACAGGCTTCTCTGTAGCCAATTCCCAGCGCAACCCTCTGTCTGGTTCTGAGGCCGGCAGTCTCTTAGAGGGGGCCTTCCATTAGTCAGCGATGTCTTCTCAGATCTGCAGGTGGCGGCCATTGAGTCGCAGGGGTGCACAGGCCCTGCATCTGCTGCCCCTGTAGTCCTGTGTGGTGTGTCTGAGGGAGTCCTAAGGGAGGGAGACTGGTCTGCCCAGGGAGGGGGCAGGCAGAGGCCAGACCAACAACAACTGTTTACAAGTGCTCCCCAGCACCCATTTAAACCTCCAGCAACTCTGTTTCCCCATATTATAGATGGAGAGATGCCTGCACCCACAGAGGTTAGGCCTCTGGCCAGAGTGCCTAGGCACCCAGACTTGGGATTCGAATGCAGGTAGTCTGGCTCTAGAGTCCAGGTTCTAACCTGTGATGTAAACAGTGCTGTGCCTTTTCTCTTATTCTATTGTCTCCAGTGTGCCCATTTTTTTCCAGTTATGGAGACCTGTACAGTAAATCCTCACTTAACATTGTCACTAGCTTCTTGGAAACCATGAGTTTAAGGGAAAGAACGTATAACAAAACCAATCTATTTTTTTCATTCATGTTATAACAAAATAACTTTGATATATATTCAAATAACTTTAAATGAAGCAACATTATTTAAGGGCCTACTGTACATTATTTTGTTTAAAGTAACAGTTTCTAAGAACTTATGATGACACCAAGTAAAGACTTTACTGGAAATTGAGTATTTGGAATTCATGGGAAGGGTAGTTTTCCTCTTGGCCCCTATAACCATAGGTGGGGAAAGTTTAGCCTCCCTCCAACAGCAGTGCAGTCCTTCTCAGTGTGGCAGGGGCTGACTGGGCTGGAACACCTTCCTGTGATGGTGAAGTGTTTGGGCCCCACTATAAGTGCTGCATCTTGAGGGCCAGGATCTGCCCTCTTTCCCTCCTCTCCTCCTCCCTTCCAAATAACCTGGTGGGGGCTGGGGTCCCTGAACTTGGGGATTGTCTTCTGCAATGACTTGGGGTTTCCCACAACTGGGACTAGCAGGGATGGGGCTGCCCAGTGCCCCTGGGCCGGACTTCTAGGCCCATTTGTGTCCAGTCAGTCATGACATGGCTCTGGTGAGCCCAAAGGATGGAGAAAGTCGTCTGGGCTCATTTGCTGCTTCGGCACCTCCCGGCAGACAGGGCCCAGCCCTTCCTGCAGCAGGAAAAGCACCAGCCTCTGGATCCAGACAGTCTGAGTTGGAATGGGGCATTGCCACACTCACTAGCTGCGTGACTTTGAGCAAATCATTTCATTTTACTGAGCCCCCTGTTCCCGACAGGGCTTTCCTAAAGATTAAATAATGATATGGGGACACCTCACCCATGACATGGCTGAGGACACTGCCGCTCACCTGCTGCTGGGAAAGGGGTGAGAGAGCAGAGTGCGAAGGATTGGGAGAGTTGGAGGGAGATGGGATTTACCTGCTGACTTCTCTCTGCTGCTCCAGCCTCCCCTCCCCTGGGGCAGCCATGCCCAGAGTGCCAGTGTCCTCTGTGGGACTGACACAAATGCAAAGATCCACCCAGCTGCTGTGAAATGACAGTGTGGGGCCACCAGCAGGCAGAAGACGCCAGCACTCTCGAGACCACACGGGGTTCCTGAACGTGTGCAGACGTCCAGCTCCTGCCCTCACGGTGCCTCCCCCACAAATGGAACTGCGGACACAGAAGTTCGCAGGAGAGTATGCTTCACCCACTCAGCACTATCATGTCTTCTGGCCAAGCCATAAAACAAGAGAGCAGGAGTGACAGAGACACTCCCTTTGAACTTGAAATCCTTTCTAAACTGCCACTCCAGCCCCAGAGGCCCTCCTCAGAAGGTCAAAAAAAGCCCACTCACTCCTCACCTTATCCCGGATGCTTAAAACAATTTTGTGGGAATGTAGGTCAGTGAACCGAGCTGCACCACACACCAGCAGGATTCCAGGGGCCAACCAGCCTGTGTGCTGGCCCACTAGGTCAGATGAGAACATAAACAAGGAACTCTGGGAGCCCTCAGCTTCCCCTGGCTCTAGTCCTTTGTTTATGTAGCACTTAAACTAACTTTGGGGTCATCTCTGTCTGGCATGAAAGCCCTGGAGCTTTTTGAAGTTCCCCTGAAGTTAATAAAATTAGTCTGCCCTCATTGCAAGACCCTGGCTTGGAGAAAGATAGATCCTCTGCTGTCTTTGTGGCATTTAGCTTTTTAAAGTTAATATTTTATAACCAAAAGAAAGGAGGGGGCAGGGGAGAAGATGCAGTAAACGTGTTCTGAAAGGCTAATAGGTAGCATGCCTGCTATCCCAGGCTCTGATTACCCTGGAGCCAGGCCTCCAGGCCCACTGGGAGGCTGAGCGATGGGCCTGCTGTGTTTAGCATGAGGGAACCAGCACTGGGGACGTGAATTGATCTGTCAGTGTGTTCTCCCAGGTAGATAGGAGGAAACTAGCCCGGGCTGGGCTGTTGGCTCACTCTCAGATGAATCGTGTCTCCCAAGGACATATCCACTTGAGTAATGTATTTCTACCTCCCGGCGTCTTCCCCTTGATGCCATGTGTGGGACTAGTGCAGTTGGCCTCCTCACACTCAGTGAGCGCCTGTTCACCAGGCCTGTAGTGGGTCAGGGCCACAGGAGGTGCACAGAACCCTTTCCTCGCAGAACTCCCAGTCCGAGGAGGGAGACAGATAGGTCAGCTGTCAGGGATAAGACATAGTGGCCAGGCTCTCAGAACAGAGGGATCTTGGCCTCAGTCCTGGGGGCCAAGGGGAGAGGAGGTGCCTGCAATGTCGGGGAAGCTGTCTGAAGGAGGAAATGTCCAAGGTGGGCCTTGGGTGGGGGTAGAGTCCCCGGTGCACAAGCTGGGACTAGCATTACAGGAGCACCACACAGGCGGGGAGGGAGGCATAACAGAGGGGCATGAGGACCCTGGGGGTGATAGATATGTTCATTAGCTTTATCATGGTGATGGTTTCACAGGCATGTATATGTATACACATATTTAGACTTATCCAATTATTTACTTTTAATATGTTCATGTTATTGTGTATCAGTTATAGCTGAATGAAGCTGTAAAAAAAAAAAAAAAAAAAGCCTACAGGCATGAGTGAGCCTTGCAAATGTACCAACAACTACAACCATGTATTCTTGCAACATTTACTCACACATTCAAGGAATAGATAGTAAGCGCCTGTTTTATGTGCAGGGAATGTAGCTATGGAGGAGAGGAACATGTTTCTGCCTGGAGCTTGTGCCTGGTTGGAAGCAATAAACAAGTAAACAGATAAGGTCAAAGGCATAACGTCAGGTGGCAATCTGTGCTCTGAAGAGAGACAGGGCAGGATGAAGATTGGAGAGGAGTAGGGGCTGGAGTACAGGAAGAGGGAGCCATGGGCCACAGGGAACGCTGTAGGCACCAGGCCTTGATTTGAGCCTGCTCAGGGCCAGGCCCTGCTGGGCACCAGGGGCTGCATAGAGATGGGGAGCTCATAGGATCTGTCGCTGAGAAGTGCAAAGGCTGTGGGCTGTGAGATGGAGGGAGAATTCTGTTATTTTCCTGTAGTACATGTGATTGTTCACAGCTACAGGCCCGTTTCATGGTAGGCTCTTATAGGAATAAAACAAGAATATTAATATCAGCTTGTTGAGAACTTTCTGCTCTGCTAAGGATACCTGCGTATATTATCCCTTTGGTCCTGGTGGGGCCTCTTACAAGCTGTTTCTCTGAGAAAGTTGTAAGCTCTTAGTCCAGGGACTGTGCCTTTTTTGTTTCTTGGCCACTGCAATGCTGGAGGACAGGTCTTATTTCTCAGTCAGATGTAACCCCAGGGCCTAGCTATGCAGAGGCCCGAGTAGTAGCTCTCTGGGGTGACCACAATGCATGAGAACTGATTAAAGCTGCCTGGGTGGGGACAGAGGGCTGCAATTGTCACCCTTGCTGGACCAGAAGCCATCAAAGGAAAATGTTCTGTCTTTGGAGAAGATGTCAGGAGAGGATGGGAGGTCCGCCTGGTGTGTGTGTAGAAGAAATGCACTTCTTGGTTTGTTTTTACATTTTTAAATTCTATTAACTTATTTGTAAACAGGTGATGCATTCATGTATTTCAGTAGCCAAAGATAGAAAAGGTGTATGGTGAAAAGTCCCCAGGCACCCTGCTCCCTTTCCTGGAGGCATCAGTTTCTCCTGATTCCTTCTGTGTATCCACCTCTGCCCTGCCCCCATCCATACACAGCCTGCAACATGCCCTTTGCCTCTCACTCTTCTTTTTAACGTGAAACACAATACTCTGGTTTTTGTATCTGTCCATACACACTGCCTACTCTCCTCTGTGGTCACATCATCATCTCTAGAGGCTGTGCTCCACTTCTTGAACTCAGGCTGGACTTCTAAGTCATTGTCAGCTTTTGCTGCTGCAGTGAGTGACCTTGGGTGGAGCTCCCATCTTCTCCTGACATCTTCTCCAGCAAGCACATCAGCGGGATGCATTCCTAGAAGTGAAATTGATGGTCCAGATGGTGTGTGCATTGCTCATTTCCATAACAGCTGCCAGACTGGTGGGCACTTCTTATCATGGGGCCCAAGTTTGCTACTGGAGGCAGGATCTACAGAGCAGGGGTGGGGTGAGGAGCTGGGTGGGGCAGGCAAGGCCACCTGGCCATGCTGCCATCCCAAAAGCAGTACCTGGGCTGGAGCTGCCAGAGACTCAGAAGGGAGGGAGTGACACTTCCAGTCGCTGATCAAGCCTCTAGGGAGAAGGTTCAGGATGAACATAGCTCATGGTGAAATCAGGGCTGCACCAAGCTGACTTTTTCACAGACATGTGTGTCCCTCCTCTCAGCCTGGGCACCCACAAAGAGACAGCAGCGGCCAACATGGCCAGCAGGAGGTATGAGCTCTGCAAAGACCTGGCCATGGCCAACAGGGGCCAGGGAAACGAGCAATTCTGCCTGGACTGAGGGAGGGTGTCATGGAGGTAGGGAGGTAGGGCTGTGGAGGAAAAGTGGGCCAGGCCAAGACAGGCTTCCAGGCACAGCTAGAGTGAGCAAGAGTAAAGCCTTGGGCCACTGTACATAGGGGTGTGTGCAGCGGGTGGGAGACAAAGGCCAGGCTCTCGGGCTCCTGTGGGAGGGGAAACCAGAGTGAGGAGGCCAGTTCTAGAAGGCCTTGGATGCAGGCTCAGGAGCGGCCCGGGTGACTGTGACAGCTTCAAGGAGAGTGCTCTGGGCAGGTGCCCTGGGGACAGGCTGGGTCATTGTGGCCCCCCAGGGGTGGGGGGGGCCTGCAACAGGGGCTTGAATTCAAAGCTACTTCTATCCCCTGTGCTCTGTGACCTTGGATAGATGACAGAACTCTGCCGTGCCTCCATTTCCTCATCTGTAAAGTGGCGCCACAGAGCTGCTGTGGGGACTGAGGTGCTATCTGTGGAAAGTGCTCACAGCATGCCTGTTTTGAAGGGCCCGTTGTTATAGTGGCAGTTGCCAGTCTCAGGTTTCTGCCCTGCTCCCATGCATTTTGTTATCTGTTAGGTGGGCTCATCACCAGGCTACCCACAGGGTTCCTAGAGCGGGCAGCAGCCAGCCATGCCTAGGGCCCGGGAGAGCTGGGGCTAGGCACACAGTCACAGCTCTTTCAGTGTGCACCACTAATGCCCTCTCTCTGTGGCTGGGTGTGTGGGGACAGGCGATGGATGACTACAGTGTGATCGGCCGCTCCCTGTTCAAAAAGGAAACCAACATCCAGCTCTTCGTGGGGCTCAAGGTGCACTTGTCCACTGGGGAACTGGGCATCATCGACAGTGCCTTCGGCCAGAGCGGCAAGTTCAAGATCCACATCCCAGGTAAGTGCAGCCACTTCCTCCCGGTTTAGGGACACCGTGCAGGGCACAGAGAGATGGCAGAGGTGATGCCAAGGTGGCGCTCCTTGGCTTAGGTTCCTAATCCTGCCTTTGCCGAGACACGGGGTGACTTGGCCTGCCTGGCAGCATGGCCTCTGGCTGGGAAGCCAGTATGGGTTCTGGGAAGAGCCTGGATGTGGAGTGAAGATCTGGTCTGAGCAGGGTCAAGATTGGAGTCTGAGTTCCCACTGCACCATTTACCATCTGAGGGGGCCTTGGGCCCGCACCTTGGTTTCTCTGTGGAGGCGGGAATAAGATTGAGCCTACAGGCAGTTTGGAGAAGAGCAGGTGAGGGAGACCGCTGGGGGCCTGGCATACTGTCCTGGCACGTGGTAAGGTTTCCAGGGATGTGAGTTGTCACCCTCCTTTGCCCAGCACAGACCCCCAGGCTCAGCACCACCTGCTGAGTTTGTGCTGGGGCCTCTCCGTGGGCTGGGTCAGAGGGTGTGTGTTTGCTGCTGGAGAGCCCTTGGATTTTGTCAGTGAACTCATCCTTCAATCACTTGTGCATTTATTCAGCCTACACTGCATCATGTTCTTCTGTGTTGCAAGCATTGTGCTTGGTGCTGGGGATATGGAGCTTACAGTTGTAGGAAGGTACAAACAATAAACATACTAAAGAAATCCCTGTCAGATGGGAGTAGGCACCACGTAGAAAGATAAAGCAGGGACGAGATGGAATTGCTGAGCATGCTGCTTTGGATAGGGTGATCAGGGAAGGACAGAGGGAGGGAAGGAGCCACATGGGTAGTCAGGGAGAGCATGCCACAGCGAGGGGGAAGTGAATGTTAAGGTCCTGAGGTGACAGTGAGCTTCAAGTGCATTTGCAGGTCAGTTGTTTGGCAAAAGTGTGCTGAGCAGAGAGGTGTGCAGGACATAGGCCAGGGTTCATACTGTGCGCTGGGGACCGTGGGAAGGACTAAAGCCTGTGTTCGTATGAATGGGTCATGAGCCACTATCTTTTTTTTAGAGAAAGGGTCTTACCCTGTCTGTGGAATAGAATGTGGTGATGCAATCAAGGCTCACTAAAGCCTTGACCTCCCAGGCTCAAACCATCCTCCTGCTTCAGCCTCCTGAATAGCTGGGACTCAGTTGTGTGCCACCACCCCCAGCTCCCCACTGTCCTTTATCTCCTGTACAATTGTACCAGATACAACCAATCCAGTACAATTCTGTTGTATTTCATAATACAGTAAAAATTACAAAAATTTTCAAACATACAGCAAAGTTGAAGATTTTACAGGGAACACCTTTACCCACTCCTGATTTTATATTGACATGTTACTGTCCTCTACATAACTCCAGGACTCGAGGTTGATCCTGTGAGGATGGAAAGCTGTGGGGAGGTTTGGATCAGGGGAACAACCAAGGTTGGTTTATGGCTTCTTGTGTCAAATCTCCTAAAGAGAAGGTGGTGCCCTGGCTCCAGCTGGAAAACAGAGACCCCAGCTGCCTCCGTGCTCACAGGTGGCATGAGCACCCTTCCCTCTCCTGACAGCCTTGCCAGGGAACCCCTTCCTTTCAAAGTCCTTCCACTGCCCAGAGATAGCATCTGCCTTCTCATGAGCAAGGGCAATGGTCACAGAGGCATTGCTTCTCCAGGGCACTTTGTTCCCTGTTAGCAGCCCCTAAGGCCTCTGTCAAGGTGGGGCTGGGGCAAGGGAGGCAGAGGCACCCAGCCATGGGAGGCCTCCAGCGGTGAAGCTCTAAAATTCTGTCCTGTCCTCCCCACTTCTCCATAGTGGCTCTGAGTCCTCACCTCAGCCAAACAGGAGTCTTTGTGCATCGCTTCAGTTTGGCTGTGGGTTGTCCTCAGAGACTGGAGCCCACAGGGCCCCTCTCTGGACTCCAGGGAGCATGCAGGGGGCATGAGCCAGACAGGCCAGCGTCCAGACCTCAGTCCCCAAGGGCCTCGTGCCTATGCCTGCCTGGGCTATTGTGAGCTTTCTGGGAGGGAAGGATCCCGGGATTCTTCCAGCTGGGTCGGGGGCCATACTGAGGAGCACTGATCCTTCCCCTAAACAGCTCTGGGGCCCTGCTGGACCAGGCAGAGGGAAGAGCTTATGGTCTTCTCCTTTGGGAACTGCTAGGATCACGCTGACCTCCCCTGAGCTCCCTTCCTGTAGCCCAAGGCAAACTCAGAGCTGGGGTATTCCCAGGGCAGGCAAGAACCAAGAGGAGTCTTGGTTGGGCTGCTGGGGTGGGAGTGAAGGGAGCCTCTCGGGGTGCTGGGGCGGGAGTGGAGGGAGCCTCTCAGGGTGCTGGGGTAGGAGTGGAGGGAGCCTCTCGGGGTGCTGGGGTGGGAGTGGAGGGAGGAGGGGTATAGGGACACTGCCTCAGTCCACTAGAGTTCACATTCCTTCGTCTGGTCAATGTTGACTTTTTAGTCTGCCTGCTTCCTGTTTGTGGCTTTTAAGCTTTTTATTAAATATCACTGGTCAGATTCCTCCATCCCACCCACCACCTTCCATCCCTCCCACCCCCACTCCCTGCTGATTCCTCCCTTTTAACCTTTTTGAAGTGCCTTAATTGTGAAAGAATCTTCAGGAAGCCTGAGCCATCCAGTGCCAGGTGAAGGGAGAGAGAGTGCATTGCTAGCTGCAGCCTGGACATGCAGGGTGGGGAAGCCTGGGTTTTGGTGCCATGAGAGGTAAGGCTCCCAGCCTGCAGCTCGTGGACAGGGCTGGGTTCAGATGCACTTCATGGGCCTCGCTGCCGGCTCTACAGGGCATCCGGGCTGGGAAAGGCAGAATGAAGAGTCCCCTGGGTTTCCTCCCATCAGCCTTTCACCTTGGGTTGCAAGGTCAGATGCCAGGAAGGCCAAGCAGGTGTTGAAGAGGCCAGGTGGCAGGTGATAGGGAGTGGTGGGGACTATGGTGACCTGGAGAGCTGCTGTGTGGGTCCTGCCAACTCTTCACTATATGGGAACGTAGGCCTGGGGTCTCATTTTATCTAATTTTATTTTTATGTAATATCTCCTGATTAAAAACTACAACTGTCTGTGCTAAACAAAGCATGCCTTTGGCCTGGTTTGAGCCCTAGCAACTCGTAACTCCTGTTTGAATTTTAGAAAGGACACTTGGCCCTCAGGTTCACGAGGTGAAGCTGAACCGTAATATGCAAACAGTATGTTTTAAGGAGCCACAGACACTTGCCTCAGAGACAAGGGTCCTGATGCTAGGGCTGTTGACTCCCAGAATGTGCTGTGGGAAATCAGAGGGCTGGGGGACGGCCCCATCCTTCCTGATATCCAAGGAGCCTTCCCAGAGAGTCTTGGGGGATCTCAAGGTTGGAAAGCCCCGTATTTACAAAACATCTCCCTTCAAAGACCTTGCCATTTGCAGAATTGTACTTCATGGGAGGATAGGAGGCCTGACAAGCTGCCAGTAGGAACCTACTGGGGAATTCTGCTGGTGGTGAGAGAGTAGTTGGAGGAAGGAGCTGGACATGGAGGAGGTTCCTGTCCAAGTCATAGCATCACTTGTAATTCCCAAGGGTTGTAGGGTGGAGTGAGTCTTGTTATCTCCATCTCACAGGTGGGAGCCGGGTAGCAGAGAGCCTGAGGGCTTTGCCCACGGTCTGTCTGTGTCACCTCACCCCTCTCCATCAGCTCTGTTGATGCCCCTAGAGAGCAGTCATGTCTTCAAAGAATCTGGAGCTGGGAGGCCCATGTGGTGCTTGGAGAAGCACTGCACCTGGGAGGCTGCGCTCCCAAAGCTCATCTTGGCAAGCCGTCTGTCCCACCGCTGCCACCCTCCCCTCTGCCTCAGTGTGCCAGGCATCAGCACTCACTCACAGAGGCAGGCTGGATGGCGGGTGGGACAACAGCTTCCGCAGCCCCTCCTGTTCCCACTTTGCAGGGAGAAAAGAACACCTTGATGACTCCCAACTGGAGAAGAATCATGTGAGAAGCTGAATAGACTTGTTCCTAATGACAGCTCTGAGTCACTGGGCATTTACTCTAGGACAGAAAAGGGCACACATGTGCCCGTGATCTTATCTCCTGAAGCAATGCTCTGTAAATCTAAAATCTCCCAGGGCTGTTGTTTTGTGTACCTGCCAAGATGTGGCAAGCTTTTTGAATGGCCCAAATTCATGATAGGTGGCCCCTCTCCCACAGGGTGCTCCTGAACCAGCTGATTTGGGACAGTTCATGTGTGTGTCTGCTTTAGCATTGAGGGGCACGCGGAGCTTAAAGCCTTGTTACTGGAAAGCCCCAGGCCCCTATTACCACTCGCGTGCCCATGTGTCACTGATTCTCACCAGGTAACAACTGACCATGGAACAGAGCTGCAAGTGCTTACCTCATACTAGCCAGAGAGCCGTGATTGAGAACATAGCCCACTCAAGGCCACAGCCGCGGCCTCATCCTAGCAGCGGGTGCTGCTCACGTGCCGGGAGCTCAAAAGGGTACTCATATCTCAGGCACTTGGTCTTGTGAGTAGCCAGAATTCTCATTCAAACCCTAAAATAGAGATCTTACTTTTGGTGATCTTTAATAACCTTTTGATTATTACTAATCACAAATTAATGTACTCCAGATGAGAAAAAGAAAAAAAATTTGTAGAACCATACTTACAGTTAAGACCCCAGAAGGAGCTTCTATTTACTGATTATCAGGGAGAGCCAGCACTCAGGAGGAGGAGAAACAGCCCCCAAAATGTGAGCTATGATGTATAGCAGTTGGGCTGCCCGCTGTACAGCTGAGGAGACTGGGGCTGGCAGGATGGGCAGTGCAGTTGCTGGTGTTCCCATTGCAACAAGCACCTCGTTTCACTGCACAAGCAGACCATTTCAAACCGCTCTGCTGCATGCCAGGGCTAGGATAGTCTGTGCCCAGGGAGGTGTGCCACAGAGGTGGGCACTCAGCGCAAGAAAGCCAGAACAAAGCAGACACTTGGGCAAAGGTAGCAAACATCCACACCTGAGATTCGAACCCAGAGCACCTCACTCTCAACCACTCTGCTCGAGACTCCCCACACCATGATGCCTTATAGGCAGGGCTGGGGGTGAGGCACTGAAGTGTATCTCCCTTCCTCAGGGTATGCGGGAGAAGGGAAGGGTTGGTCATTCAGCTCAGTGGGCCCTTGGACAGAGGGCCTGAAATGACTACCCTATGGCCCCTGGGAAGAGGGAGTCAGGAAAGCCACTTCTGCTCACCTCTGAAGAGGGTCCTGAGGAGGGCTCCTGGGCCATCCTGCACCCAATGCTGCCCCTGTGCCCACCCCCAGGGCTGCAGGGGCTGTGACTCTGAATTATGCCCATCAGTGTGCCATGCAGAAGGGGATGGATTTACATGGAATAGGAAGTGTTGCTTGCATGAATGAATAAATGAAGGAGTTTGGTGGAATAGACTGGACTGGAATGAACAAATGAATGTACCCAGGCCCACGAGGGCCACTCTCAGCTCTGTTTTCTGCAGCCTCACAGTGGAGGCCAAACAGCCTGGTGCTTTGTGTGCTACAGGCTTCCCCAGAACCTCAGCAATGCGGGCAGACACCAACCTCATCAGACTCCCTCAGAAGCTGCTGCCTAGGAACAGAGCTTGGGGGAGGGCTCGAGTTTCCTGATCTTTAAAACAAGGGGGCCAGGCACAGTGGCTCACCCCTGTAATCTCAGCACTCTGGGAGGCCGAGGCAAGAGAATTGCTTGAAGCCAGGAGTTTAAGACCAGCCTGGGCAGCAAAGCGAGACCCCATCCCTACAAAAATGTAAATAAATTAATCAATCCAGGGTTTGCCAGTCCATTTAGCTCGGCAAACTTAGTTGAGGCTTAGGGCTCGGGCGGGGGATACTGAGATCCTTCTCAGAGTCCTGTCCCAAGGTGCTTTCCCTGTGGGACAGGCAGAGACATGAGCAGCCATTCACAGTCAGCATGGCAAGTGGCCACTGGGACGTGTGGCTGGGAATGGGGGAAAGTGGCCATCCTGAGAGGAGGGCCAGAGCAAGCTTCCTGGAGGAGTAGCCTTCTGAGCAGAAGGGCGAGCGGGGAGCAGAAGGCTGCATAGAGAGCTAGAATCAGATGTGTGATGTTCGCTAGAACCCTGTGGCCAGTGGTCAGTCCAGCCTCATGGCCAGGGTCAGGAAAAGGCCAGGACAGTGGAAAGACCATGGGATGGGGAGTCGGGAACCTGGCCCTCATACCTGCCCTGAGCTCCAGTTCCTTCGCCTACACAGTGGGCATGTGAATTCTCAGACTGCCCCTCCAGGGCCTCTTCCAGCCTCATTCATCTACTGCTGACTCTGCCAGTGCTCAAGCCACTCCTCTGTGGAGTGCACCTGACCCCCAGGCCCTGCAGCACTGCTGTGGGGATGCACTGGCAGGAAGCAGGGGCTGGGAAGGCCAAGAGCACCTCCCAAACCCTGTCCCGGAGCTGCCATTTAGTCTAGCCCTCCACAGCCTGCATGGCAGCGTGGCCCCAACCCACAGGTGAGGAAACAGGCCCTTTGCTCACATCTACACTGCTAGTAAGTGAATGGGCCAGAGTTCTCTGTCTGCCCCAGGGAGATCGAGCAGAGGGGCCAGCAGGAGTAAGTGGGCACAGCATACCTGCTGCTGAGGGCAGTGCCAGCCCTGCCAGCTGGCTCTGCTCCCTTAGCCCTGCAGCCTTCTCCCAGGACTCTGGGGTTCCAGCTGGTAGCCCGTGGCCCCTGTGCTGAATCAGGTGTCTCAGGGCTCAGCATGGTATCCCATCCCATCCTCCTCTGTCCCTCATCACAATTTATTGGGCCCTCCGTGTACAGACCTGTCTAGGTGCTGGAGGGGGTCAGAGGTGAAACAAGGCCTGGGTGGGGAGGGGGCTCCCTGAGTGGATGGAGAGCCCTGGGCCAACACCCAGTGGGACAACTCCTCTGTGAACCACTCTCTGGTTTAGGAGAGGGACGGGTCAGACGAGGCCAAGGTTGCAGGGGCCGCTGGGCTAGTTACCTGGAGGGTCTCCTGGGGCATCCCAGGCTCCCTTCTGATTGGGACCAGCCACTTTCCAGTCTGTGCTTCAGCTTCTTCAGTGCTAACCCAGAGCTAGTCATTCTGATTTCCAGGAAGGCTGAAAATTTAATCATAGAATCCCTGGAGAGGACTGCCTATAGTATCCACTTACGGCAGGGGCTCCCTAAGTGGTGGCTGGAATTGTGTGCTGTGTGCACCCACCCCTCACCTGCCAGCCCTTCCTCTTGGTGGGGTAGCTCACATGTCCACTGAGGGCCTCACTTTATCCTCCCACCCATGCCCTGTCCCTACCACAGAGCACTGGGAAACGATGCCTGTAGGAGCCCCGGTGCTGCATTCATGCCAGGCTGCTTCACAGGAGATTAACCAGCCACCTTTCAAGCAGGGATTGGCTGTGCCACAAGGACCTCTCCAATTTATTGACCCTGGAAAGCACTTTGCATGGTCAAAAACAAGGATTATACCTTTCCCTCCTGATTGAAAACAGAAGCCAAATCATAGAGGCATCCCCCAGATGCCCCGCTTTGCCTCAGCCGTTGGATGGCCAATGTCTCTCCCGGGACCAGTACAGGGCAGAGCAGCAAGTGCTTCAGCTCAGCCCAGAAGCTGATGCACCTCTCTGTTGACCAGGCAACAGATTGTCAGGGGCTCTCAGACCCAGGTTCACAAGGTGGCAGATTTGTCAGGGCCTAAGTCCCAGAAGCTCTATTTGCTAGAAATATGGGTCATTTAGTATGGACTGGGCCAGGCCTGCAGGAGTTGGGGACACACCCCTTCAGTGGTTTTGGGGGACCAGTGTGTTGGTGAGGTCCCAGGCAAGTAACTCTAAGAATAGAAACTATGGTTCTAAGAAATGGCCAGGGGCATTGGTCCATATGGGCTGGTGACCAGAAGGAATGGAATTGGCCTGGGTGACTTGTAGCATGAGGGCCTACAGCCATCCGGAGGGTAGCAGGCAGGGCCTGAGGCTGAGACAATGTCAGCAGTACAATCAGCTGCTGCCCATGCCCTGTGCCAGGCAGCACGCCCTTGTGTAGTCTGACCACTCAATCCTGCCAGCAGCCCAGGGAAACCAGGCTGTCATCACCCCAGTTCTGCAGAGGAGGAAATCAGACCAACCCCAGTGCCCTGGCAGTCAGCCTGAGGGCACAGAGGAGGAGGAGGAGGAGCAGGAGCTGGGGTCCTGATTTTCAAGGTCAGAGACAGGAGGGCTCTGGCCTCACACAGTCACTCTGACTTTAGCTAGCTCTTCTTTACCAAGCACTGACTCTTGTGTGTGGAAAGTATTTTTCTGGTATCAGACATAGTGTTGGGTTCTGGGCACATGGCTCAAACAAGACACAGTCCCTGCACCCCGGGAGTTCACAGCTAATCACCCCTCTGTTCAACAGTGTGCTTTTGAGCCCCTGTTATGTGTCATCCTTGTGTTGGGTTCTAGAAAGACCACAGTGAGCCACAGCCCACATGACCCCTGAGCTCATGGGGCTGTTGGGTTGGTGTACTAGTCAACTCGGGCTATCATAACAGAATACCACAGACGCGGTGGCTTAAACAATAGGCATTCATTTCCTGTCAGTTCTGGAGCCTGGAAGTCCAAGATCAAGGTGTCTGCAGGGTGGGTTTCTCCTGCAGCCTCTCTCTTGGCTTGCAGACGGCTGCCTTCTCCCTGTGTCCTCACATGGCTGTCCCTCTGTGCGTGTCTGTGTCCCAACCTCTATTTTGAAGGACATTAGTCAGTTTGGTTTAGAACTCAACCTAAAGACCTCATTTCATCTTAATTACACCTTTAAAGGCCCTGCCTCCAAATACAGTCCCATTCTAAAGTCTGGGGGTTAGGATTCCAGTATATGAATTTGAAGGGACACAGTTCAGCCTGTAACAGTTAGGATGCTGGCACTGGCAGACTTTCTCCTGAGCATTTGTGTATTGGCAGCCACATGCATGCTGTGCACAGAAGGTGCACAATGCCATGAGATCTTACAGTAGGACCCCAACCGAGTCTGGGCTTGGGAAGGCTTCCTTCGGAAGTGGCATTGCACTGGGGTCTGAGGACAAATTGGAGTCTCAGTGCCCCTGGAGGTGAGGGTGCCACAGTGGTGCTGCTCAGGCTATTCCTGCTGGCCCTGAGTATCACCTCCGCATCGAACCAGCCACCTGCTGTGTGGACTCCTGTGCCTGTAAGCAAGAGCCACATCCTGTTTCCACAAGGCCTACCTCAGGGATGCCGTGAGACTGCAACATTGCTGCACCCCTACTTAGGCTGCCGATTATGGACTTATGTCCCCTTCCCACCTTACAGGGAGAGAGACAGCCTTGAAACCAGACCCAGAGATGAGTGAAGCACCACAGTTGGTGCTGTGGCCCCACTGCCTGCCTGGCCATATCACTGGCTCCATCAGCCCTCCAAAGAAACCAGCTCTACAATAAGACTCCCTTTTCCTGTCACCCATTTCATCTGGAATGCCAAGCAGTTCTGCACTGGTGACGCGTGCTGACTCCAGCTCAGGCTAGGGCTCTGCTGAAAAGCTGCCTCCTGCGATCACTTGCCTAATGGTTCTTCCTCCCACCACCCACTGGGAGAGCCGTGCCTCAGGAATTCCATGGGGCCAGTCACATGGCCTGATGCCCTTGGGCTGGGCCAGGATGGTGCTGCCACAGCCTAGATCCTGGGTGTAGCCCCTTGCACAAGGTCAGCTGGAGTGTGTCCTGTCTCCAGCTACAGCCAGTCACAGCAGATGGTGGTTGCATTTGGCACAGAAGTACAGTCCACAGGCTGAGTGCAGTGGCTCACACCTGTAATCCCTATGCCTGGGGAGGCTGAGGCAAGCGGATCACCTGAGGTCAGGAGTTGGAGACCAGACTGGCCAATGTGGCAAAACCCCATCTCTAATAAAAATTTAAAAATTAGCTGGGCATAGTGGTTACACACCTGTAGTCCCAGCTACTCGGGAGGCTGAGGCAGGAGAATTGCTTGAACCTGGGAGATGGAGGTTACAGTGAGCCAGGAGATTGCGCCACTGCACTCCAGCCTGGGTGACAGAGCGAGACTCCATCTCCAAAAAAAACAAAAAAAAAAAAACAAAAAAAGAAGTACAGTCCACAACACACACAAGAAATGAAGTTTTCTGTGTTTTAAGAAAGAGGAGTTTTAAAAAACAATAAACAACAATGACAACTGCGCATGTTAAAATCACTCCCTGGATGTGGTAGCTCAGCTGAGCCTTGCTGGTCAGGGCCACTTCCCGGAAGCTTTCTCACTGTTGCTAATCCTTCTGAAGGGCCTGGGTCAGCTCACTGCCTTTGGAGCCCTCGGTTTTCATCTGATAAAATGGGGGTAACAATCCTGTCTTGAAGGACTGTGAGGAGTAAACCAGTGTGCAAGGATGCCCAGCATGTTGCAGGCGTTGGGAGTGGGCTGCCAGCCCCTTCCCTCATCTGCCTGCACCGCATGAGCCTGACACGTGCCGGAGTCCAGGCCTGAAAACCCAAGGGGCTGGGCCCCCTGAGCTCCATGCCCGTATTGCTGGGCTGTAGCACAGCCACGGTGGCATTACCACTTCCAATTTTTCAAGAAAGCCTGGATATCTGTATTTTTACATGAAATCTTCCCATTCTCAGTTGGGCCACAATGTGTGGTCTCTGTGTTGGCACCAGGTCCTTAATGTGCCGTCTCTTCCTCCTGCTGCAGCCTTCAAGAGGAGGCCATCGCCCTGTTTCTCCCAAAGGCACTGTGAGGCTCAGAGGAGCTAGATGACTGGCCCACCAGACCCTGAAGTTCCCAATGGAAGTGGACATCACCCATGGTTCCACTTAGCTGGGAGGCTTCTGGAAACTCAGCATAGAGCAAAAGTGAAAACACATCCTGGTGCCAAAGGGACAGGACACGATGAGCCCTGAGGTTGTGGATATTGTTATGTTCCCATAAATAACAGGCCCTCAGACAATGGGCTGTGAGGCTGTGTGTTCCTCTGGGGTTTGAAATGAAACTGGCTTTCTTCTCTTTTAAAATGTGCTCTCTCCAACCATCCAGCTGCTCTGTTTGGAGCAGATTCTGGGGCAACCCCAATAACCTGTCCTTGGGATTTCATTAGCACCACCAGCCAGCTGCCTGGAAAGTAGCCCCTGCCAGGACCAAATTAACTTTTACTGAGAGACATTGGCAGGGCTGGTATTGTGCACACTTGGCATTTTCAGCCCACACTGGGATGTGGGTAGCAGGGTACCTTCAAAGAACAAGAGCTTCGGAGGCAGCCAGACCTGTGTTGGAATCCTGGCTAGAATGCTACCCTTTCTGAAAATCCCAGTTTCCTCATCAGTAAGGTGGGTTATCTTGAGGACTTTCCCTCCTAGCTTTTTAAATAATTTCAAACATACTGAAGAGTGGAAAGCTTATTGAGCAGTGTTGCTCCCTTGGCTTCAACAATTGCTCCGTGTTGTCTTGTCTGCTTTGTTTGTGCGCCGAGCCGACTGAGGGTTCCTCCTGGTGCTGCTGCTGTGCCTGCACCCTCAGCACATGTCCCCGAGGAACAAGGACATTCTCCTGCAGAACCACAACGCAGTTACCACTGGAGAAATGTGACATTGATGCCACATTGTCTAGGATACAGTCCATTTTCAGATTCCCCAACTGTCGCAATAGTGTCTTAGGAAGTTTTCCATGCTTGAGGAGTCAGTGAAAGGTGGCACCTGCGCTCAGTGCTGCCACCAATAGTTTTACAACACTGATGTTTTTGAAGAGCCCAGGTTGGTTGTTTCCCAGTGCACTCTTTGGGTCTGTCTGATATTTCTTCATGACTGGGTTCAGGCTGTGCATTTTTGGAAGGAATTCTACAGAGGTGATTTCGGGGCCTTAGTGTGTCCTATCCGGATGTCTGCCCATCATAGGCAATGCTAGGTTTGACCACTAGTGAAGGTGGTTGTTAGGAGGTTCAATGAGGTGATGAAGACAGAGCCCAGGCCCAGAGATAGCTGTGTGGAGGGAGTGCAGCGGCCCACACTCACCACCGGTATCATAGCTCAGCAGCTGTGCCCCATGCAGGATGCCTCTGTGGCCTGGGAGGAGGGGCACCAGCAGGTCCCTTGGGAAGTTACAGTAAAGGCCCCGGTCTGGCAGCAGTGAGGCAGAGCTGACTCTCTGGAGCCAGATCTAGGGATATCCTACCCCTCTCCCATATCCCCATGGGGCTAAGCCAGGGCCTGTGGAGGGAGGAGAGGAGCTGCTACTTCCCCCAAAGCCTTCTCTTTCTCCCTCTCCCCGACCACCCACCCTCTCTCCCCAGCCCAGCTCTGTTTCAGCCATTGCCCCTCTCCCTGTGACCAGCATCAGACCTGAGCACAGAGGACTGGCTCTAGGCCCATCCCAGGGGGCACCGTTTGGGTGGAGATGTTACAGAAAGGAGCAAGCACTATAGTAGGGGCCCTACAGGGCTTTGGAGAAAGAGCATGGAGTGACTGCTCCCTTCCAGAGTGAAGGTGGGAAGTTTTACCGATGCAGTGAGGCTTGAGCTTGTCTTGAAGGTGAGGAGATTTCCCCAGGGAGAAAAGGGAGGAAGGGTGTTCAGGACAGAAGGAACAGAGTGTGCTAGGGCACAGAGGATGGAAAGAGTGGCATATTCTGGGAATATGGAATAGAAACTAATATTCATTGCTTGTTAAAATGAGTAGGACATTGTTCTAAGTGTTGTATATGTTATTAACTCCTTTGATATATATAAAATGATGGTTTTGGAGCAGTTTTTTTTTTAAAAGCAATGGAATTCTTTGTTTTTTCACCCGAAGTCTTTCATGGAATCCAATTGAGGCCCTGGGGAGCCTCCTTGCTGTTCACCTCAAATCCAGCCCTGAGGCTCATCCTTGGATGGATGGGGAGGAGGGGAGGAGGAGCTTACTCCCGAAAGGCCTTGGCCTCCATGCTTGTATCTGGCCTTTGTCTAGACAGGGTTCCCATCGACACTGCTGACACTGGGGCTGGACCATCCTCTACTGTGGGGCTGCCTTGTGCCCTGCAGGGTGTTTGTGGGTATCCCTGGCTTCTTCTTACTAGGTACAGCCTCACCCAAGTTGCAGCAATGAAAAACTTCTCTAGATGTTCCCAAGTGTCCCCTGGGGACCAAAATATCCCCCAGTTGAGAACCACTGGTCTAAGCAAGTGGCAGAAGGAACTGGTGGTTGGTGTGCAGGGAGGAACACAGTCAGAAAGCTCTGTCTGGCAGCTGGTTGGAGGGGGCAAGCCAAGGCCTGAGGCTGGACAGTGGGCACATGGGGAGGAGGGCAGAGGGGCAGGATGCACCCCAGAACCTGTTGGGGTGCAGAATGAGGAGGGTGATGTCCAGAATAGATTCTACCCCAGGCCTCGTGGGCAGCCTCTGGCCAGCAAGGAGGGCCTAGGCATGCCCCCAGAGTCCCAGCCCCATGGTAGGGGCCCTACAGGGCCATGGGGAAAGAGAGGACAGAGTGGTCCTGCAGGGGCCGGGGCCCGGCGGCAGTGCCTCATCCATCCTGAGGTCTCTGGGTGCTTGGTGGTGGGGGGCCCTGAGCTCTGGGCCCAGTGGCCTTGAGAGGAGGGAGGCTCTGTCCAGCCTGGTGCGGACCAGGAGTGCAGGATCTTTACTGGCCCTTACACAGTGAATGCAACTTTTCTTTGGGAACTATTTCTCTTTGCTTAGGACTCTCTAAAACTTTCCAGATTTGCCAGTTTGTAGTTTTAGGGAAAATTTGTATTTTTCCATATGCAGTTATCCTACCTAAATAAAGTCAGCAGAGTGAACTGATAAAACAATTAACATTTTAGGCAGTGGAAAGTGGAACTTGCGATTGGCTGTCTCTGGAGGGTCTCTCCAGAAAGTCTTGATTTAGCAAACCACCAGCAATCTTAGATACCTGAGAGAAAGTTCCAGAAATCAGAGGCCGGCCCATGTTCTATCGTGGATGATCTTGGCTTGGGCAGTTCTGTGGATCTTGTGTCTGATACTCCATGCCCTGGACTGCCATGGCAGCTGGTCAAGGGGCCTAAAACCCTGAAGCCTTTAAATACATGTGCCAGCAGCAGGAAACTCCCTGCCCCAAATTCCCCCATGATTTGGATTCACCACAACACTTACCATGTGTTCAGAGACGCTTGGTCATCACAGTCACTAGCAAGGGGAGGAAAACCCCTTCCTGGCTAGGTGCTGGGGGTACAGAGGGCCTGGGGCAGGACGGTGCTCCAGCATGCTCTGCCACTACTACCACTGTTACTGCCGATGTTCATTTAGCTCCTGCTGTGTGCCAGACTACCTGACATGCTTTGTTGAAATCCACTACAGTGTAGAAATCCACTCTTTTGTTCCTTCAGCACCCCCTGAGGTGGGCACTATTAGTAGGTCGTCACTCACCCAATGTCTGACAGACCACACTGCCTTTAGTGACCACAGCACAGCAGCCCTCTCTGGGACAAACAGGTTAGGGTGAAGGGTGCTGGGCCCCTGACTATACGTAAACAAGGTATTCACAGCAGTGCTTAGAGCTGCGCCTAGCGAGGGTTGGTGCTCACCAGCCACTGCTGCTGTAGATGTCACTTCCATGAAACCTCTGAGTTGTTCCTGGCTTCCTTCCTGTCTGAGGAGGAGGCAGGGGAGTAATAACAATAACACCTGTAATTGTACCTATAGAAAACATGTACAGAGCAGTCCCAAGGCTGAGTGTTTCCTGAAGAGCGTCTCACTGATCTGCCCTGTACAAATGTCAAGATGAGGCCCTGAGAAGTGGAATGACTTGCACGAGGTCGCACAGCTGAGAAAGGGAGGAGGAGCCAGGATTTTACCCCATTTTGTCTGACTGCAGAGCCCCAGCACTTTATGCTGAAAGAGAACTGGGAGCCAGTGGAGTGTGGAGTTCCGTGCAATGTGGAGCCAGGCAGGCAGGGACGAGTGAGAGAACCTGGCACCCATTGTGTGGATGTTGGGCCCACCTTGCTCTTGCCTGCCTCCTCCACCTGGGCTCTCTCACCTGGCCACAGAGTCAGCTGAGTTTAGAATGGCACTTGATGAGCTACAGGTAACCATTGGATTGCTCAGGCACCCAGGGCCACTCCTGGAACCTGTCTCCAGGGAACCTCTGTGGCCCACACAGGATCTAGCCCTGGGCCAGAGTGTTTCACTGCTGCCGGGTAGTTAGCCAGGGACCTACAGCAGCAGCGAGCCTTTGGTTGGTGAGCAACCCCTAGCTGGGGCTCCTGTGACCTGGTGTTTATTTAGTGCTCGAAGGTTGGGATCACCACGTGCATGTCCAGGGAGCTCTGCTATCCACACACAACCTCCTCACAGATACAGGCTAGTGCCTATACCAAGCCCTTCCCAGCAGGGCTCTATTCATCCAGTCTCCTGTCCTTGGGGTGGGTCAGCTCTGGAGGGGGCTAACCAAAAAGATCCAGGTATCACATGCATATCTTAAGCCAATTCTCACCCATAAAATTTCACAGTCCCATTAGAGAGAAAGCTTAAAAATCTGGGGAAAAAGTCACCCACAGTCTCCTCACCCCAGTAGCATCCCAAGGGACTTTTGGTTCCATTTCCTTCCAGCACTTTCCACATGTCACTTGGCCAGGCTGGGAAGGGCTCATGGTCGGGAGTGAGAGTTGAAGGCCCACCTCCTTCACTGGCCATTAGACCTGGACCAGCCCCGCTGCCTCCCTGAGCTGCACTCCCCTCTGCAGCATGCAAGGGCAGTGCTGATGTCTATCATTAGCTCTGGAGGGTGCAGTTGGAAACCATGAGTATGAAGTGCCCACCCAGGGTCCAGCACCTGAAGATGCACCATCGGTGCCCAGTGCTGTCATCGACTGTGTGGCTCTTTTGGACGTGACACCACACCAGACCCCCAGGTCATACTGCTGCTTTCCTTGGGGCTTCCTCAGAGGCTGCTGTTCATGTTTTCCCCTCGCCTCCAAGGGCTGTGCTTGTAGACTTGTGTAAGCGGACCGTGCTTACCTCACCATCTCCTACTGGTCAGGTACCTACAATTTTTCCCACTGTTTTTCGTTATTATGGCCAACATTCAGAGTCATCCTGGAGCTTTTCTCACCATCAACCTTTGAGTGTGGGCCATTCAGTCAGGACACACTTACTCACTCTCAGATTTCTTTAGTTTGCCTCAGTGGGTGAGTGGGGGAGACCTAGGGGGCTTTCTACTGGGGACCCCATTCCAGTTCCTGGCACTAATTGTGGCTCAATAAAGGCACACTGAATAAAAGAATGCCAGAAATTTCACTGAGACGTGATTTTCCTCCATGTTTATGATTCAGTGATCAAAGTTAGAAATTGTTAAAAAAAATGAAAAACAATAATATATTTCTCACTGTATGCCATATACTTTTCTAAGCATATTATATATAATAATATAATTTACTCTTCACAACAAACCTGAAGGAATTATAATTATTGAAATTGCCATTTTGCAAATGAGGAAACAGAAGCACAGAGAGGTAAAGGAAAGTGCTCCAAGTCACACAGCTCTTGAGCCCCAGAGCTGAGACTTGAGCCCAGGCCATCTGGCACTGGAGCTCATGCTCTTAGCCCTGTGTTCTCTGCCTCTGACTGTTCTCATTTTTGTCCATCTGTTCCACCTGGCCCTGAGCTAAGGGCCCAACATGAATTCCAGAAGTTCCCATTTTGGTTTGGCCCAGCCTTTGGGGTGGTTAAAGAAATACTCTAAACTGCAGTTTCCTTGTCCTATATAAAAAAAGGAGTGGTCCCTGCCTTCAGGATTGTAATAGAGGAGTAAGAAAATGTGTACCAAGTGCCTGGACCCTTAGAACTGTCCTGTGAGTTCGAGTGTGTTTCTCTTCCTCTTCACAGGGGCTGCAGACAGTCCCTGGGGGATCAGGTGTAGGCTAAGTTTTGGTGGTGAGGATTTGTGTCTGTCTGGGGATTGGTAAAGCCACTGCCTCTTCATGTGCCATCTTCCAGCACCTGTCTGTCTGGTGAGCACTTCACTTCTTGTGGCTGTTGCTTGCTAGCCCCTTACCTCCTGCCCACCCTCGCCATGGGCACAAATCCACACCAGGCACTATGCTCAGAAGTTGCCTTGACAGTGCCCTCTTAGTATGGCATTTGGCATGCTTCGCAGTCGGTCTCCCACCAGCCTTCTCTGCCTCCCCTCCCTCTGTCCCTCTGGACCGCAGGCCACCCTCCAGCCCTAGCCCTGCAGCAGCCCATAGCAGCTTTCCTTCATTCTGCCACTTGCGCTGGGTGCTCTGGCCTCAGCTCAGATGCCACCTCTAGGAAGGCTCCCTGTCCTTCTCAAACGGAGCAGGTCCTCAATGTTCTCCTCCTTTGCGCATCTCTTCCAGTGCCACATCGGCTTCTCCACTCCCTGGACAGAGAGCTCTGAATCCCAGGTGGCTCCACACTCATTCCACGACTGGGCTGGGAGGTGCTCCCAAGTGGAAGGTCTTTGCTGTGTTAGTCTGTGGCCTGCACATGCTCACTGCTCACTGTTGGATGAGTGAGTGAGTGGGCAAACCCCTGTGATCTCCACCACACACCCTTTATATGAACACCACCCTTTATTTAAGCTAGATGGGGCTGAGAAATAGGGTATTTGAAGCCTCAGATTGACCCATGTGCCTGAAAAAGTTCAGAGGTGGTGCTTGATCCCAGGACTCAGCCCTGCCCTCCTTCAGGCAGCTGTCCCAGCCAGGCTTCTCCATAGATGGTCTTCCAGCTGCAAGTCCAGTGGAGTAGGGTGCCTCTTTCCCAGTAACCCCACCAAAGTGCTAGAGCCCCACACCATCCCCAGACCAGCACAGGAGCCTGGGGCATGCACAGTTCTCTGGCCAGCCTGGGTCATGTGCTCCTCTTGGCACCAAGGATGCACCCTTTTGCAACCCTGCATCCCCAAGGAAAACCAGGGGCTGTTACTAGAAGTAGGCGGAAACAGCAGGTGTTTGCTGCAAGCAGGAATGCCCACTGTGCTTGGGCTTTCCTCACCACTGGCATGGCCTTACCATCATCATCACCCTAACCTGCACAGCCACAGCCCTTCCCAGGGCCCCGCAGCATTCTGGGCCAGCTTCGCTTCCTGAGCCCTCTGGACTGCTGGGGTTTCTTCCCCAGAGGTGAGCTTCTCTAGGCTGAGGGCTGGACTGAGTCTCCCAGTGTCTCCAGGGTCCCACCCATCAGCTGGCAGACCCCAGGTAAGCTGTGTTTTGTCAGGTATGTTCATGGTGGGATTTGAAGGACCTCTGTCCCTTCAGCCATTGAAAACTGTTCCTCTCCCCAGTAACAGTGACCATCCCAGTTGCAAATACATCATTCATCCTCATTAGCCTTGGCACACTGACTTGTGTGGTGGAAAGATGATCCTTCTGGCCAAGCAGTGAGCATATCAGGATTCACCAGTGCCTAACTGGGACTCAGAAGTCTCAGCAGAGTCAGCAGTGTCTCATGATTCTTGTGAAAGAGGAAAGATTTAATGTCAGAACCTAGGTCAGGAATAGGTGATTGTTCTGCACCCAAAGGTTTGGGGAACCCTCACACTGTGGGCTAATTTCCCTCTGTCACCTGGGGGAAGAAGGCCCCATGGCTTCTTCGTGCCCAGCAGCGGCACAATCTCTCACTCAGGGGTCATGGCCTGGCCCCAGACTTTTGTTTCCATCCAAACTGGTTTGAAAAAAACCTCACAAACTGTTTTTTTAATAACCTAGAAGTATAATAGTAATAGTCATTCAAGGAGATTTGCATGTTAAAGAAAATAAAAAGAAGTCTCCCATAGTCCCATTATTAATATTTTGACTTAGTTTCTTCCGTCTTTTCTCTGCAAAGCCTTCTTTTTATGTAATTGAGATATGGTGTATACAATTTTGTGTCTGATTCTTTTCAATTAATATTTATTATACAAACTTTTTTTTTTCTTTTACTGTTTTACTCTGTGGTCTCCAAGGGAAGTTGAACCACGTAGTGATTAAGAGCCTGGGCTCCGGGCTCAGACAGAGCTTGGTCTGAATCCCAGCACCATTACTTACCAGGTCTACAACCTAGATAACCAAGCAGGCCTCGCTGAGTCTTAGTTTCCTCGCCTGTAAAATGGATACCGAATGTGCCCTAGGTGGAGATGCTCCAAGATATAAATGTCCAGTAAAATGTAAAAGCACATGCAACACTCAGCAATAGCAAGAGCTGTGTTCAGTCATGTGGCCATTGTTTTCAATGCAGCGTAACAGTAACCAACCTTGCCAAGGCCTTAATGGGCTACCTAAGCATCTGTGGATGTTCCATCTCTTGTAAATAACATTGCTGGAAGCATCTCTGTCTATAAATCTCTGTTTTAATATGTAGGGTATTTTCTTAAGATGGAGCCTCAGAAGCTGAATTGTTCTAATTTTTAAAATGAAAACATCACAGACATTTAAAAAGTTCTTAAGAGTTCCTGGCAAAGTGTTTCCCAAAAGTACAGTGCCATTTTATACTTCCATCAGCAGTGGGTGAAGGTGTCTGTTCTCTACCCCTCACCAGCACAGGCTCCCCTGTGTTATTTATCTTTGCTATTTTCCTACATGGCAAATGACATCTCAGTGTCTTTAATTTGCATTTCTTTGATAACTAGTAAAGTCAACCATTTTGCCATATCCAAGTTTCTTTAAAGAGATTCAGAAGAAGAAGATAAGTGGAGAAAAACGTGCAGTTCACAGTCTGGCATCTTTATGACTGTCTGCCAAAATTTCCCACTTCAGCCTCCTACACTGGGGACTAGAGTACCTCTTGGATTCTGACCTGCAGATCTCCATAGTGTATACTCGTCACCCCAACCCTGTGCAATCCAGAGGCACCTCTACCAAGATGGCTTTTGTCCTTCACAGCACCTGCATCTCTCATCCAGATGCCCTTTGTGACTGGCCCCATGCTGAGTCACGAACCCAGAGCCCAGACCCAGGGCCTGTCATATGTGGGCATTCCAACAGTCCTCCTCCATCTGAGGCCCTTCAGGAGGGAGCCACCACCCAGAAGAGTAGGGGAGGTTTCTCAGAGCCTTAAAAGAAGAGTCAGTCTTTGATCAATCCAAGGACAGCCTGTGACCTCCCGCCTGGGACAGGAATCATGTTGGATCTGTGCACCACTGCATCCCCAGGGCCTAGCACACTGACCAAGGAGGGAGATAAGCCCACCTACAGGCAGCAGGGAGCCACTGAGGGTCTTTGGGCAGAGGAACTAGGATGGAGGAGTGTTTGTGGACAGTGGTGGTACTAGTGGTCTGGGGGCCTGGTGAGCTGCTCGTAGGAGCCCCTGAGAGTTCATGGCAAGTGTGGGAAAGCCAGTACAGGACTCAGGCAGCCCTCTCTCCTGTGCCTGACACCCCCAGGCTGGCTGCTGGCCCCAGCTGCAGGCCAGCCTGACTCTGACAGCTGACTTCTCCAAGTTGCTGGCTGTTCCCAGACAGCTCATCCCACTCCCGTCCCACAGGGAGGCCCGAAGCCAGCTTTGTCAGGGCAGTCTGGATGTACTTGTGACCCCTGAGGTGAGGGCAAACTCTCCACAGGCAATCCTGGGCATTCCACTGGGTTCTGTCCCACACAGCTGACTGGTCGGCCAGGGAGACTCTGGAAAACAGCTTGGTTGGGAGAAAAGAGTTGAAGAGAGGTGAGGGGTGAAAGTTGAGGTTTCAGAAAATCCCTGTAAAAATGAAAACAAACCATCCATCTTTCTCCTGGGTGTCTTAGCCCGCCACTGCCCTTTGTGGATCTTGCCCCAGTGTCTGTAGGGACGGCAGCTCTGAAACCTAATCCAGCAGCCAGCTAGCTGCTGCCAACCCCCACCCAGTGCAGGAATGCCCTGACAGGGCCAGCCTCTCCTGGAAGCCGTCCTGACGGAGGAGCACCTTTACCAAGCGCAGAGAGCACTTCGGGGTGTACTTTTTTCCCCAAATGAATAGCCAGCCTCCTCCCGCTTTGGCCATTGAAGCATTTCAAAGCAATTGTAAAAATTATATGAACCCCATCGAAGAACTGTTACAACAGTGTTTATACCCAGCGTTTGAAACAAAGACAATGATATTATAAATAATTGTAGATGATGAAGATAGGCAAGAAAAAATAACATAATTAAAAGAATTTTACAAGACGGACCGTTCACAAAGATGGATGGAGTAACACAATACGTTAAAAATATCTGCAATTAACATAAACACAGCCTAGTGGACAGAAACCATCTGCTGGCTGGCCTCTCCCTGGGCATGGTCCCATGTCACACAGGGCGGTGCCAGGGCCTTCACTGTGGCTGTCATGTCTCTGGGGCCCCTAGGAAGAGGCTGTCTAGGGGTATCTTTCCTTGCGGCAATCGGAGGCCCTGTGATCTGGGAATGATTGAGAAGGAAGTACAGAAACAAAAGGGAAACTGAGGACTTTCCAAGAAGGAGTGTCTTCGTGGGGTCACAGAGCTTTCTCCAGGAGCCCCTCCCTCACCCCAGATGAGGTTGGGTCCCGTCAGCTGTCCCCACACACCCAATGCTTTTCCATCACAGAGGTGGATGAATGCCCAGGGACTCCCAAGAATGAGTCATGTGGCCAGCCTCTCTGGGCCCACACATGCTCCACCTTGTGTTGGCACATAGTAGGGCCTCGGCCCCTGTGTGTTGGGTGACTGACCTATGGCTTCTGAGGCTGGCATGTAAGGTATAGGGAGCAAGGTGCGATTATTGGTCTCATGTCATTAGTGGGTGTCTACAGCAGGGCCTGACCACAGAGCTCTGGCTGGACTCTAGGTGCTTTGGGTGCAAGGTGCTTGGTGCCATTTCTCGTGATGACTGCCTGAGGTGGGCACCCCGATACCCACTGGACAAGAGCCGAGGCCCCGAGAGCCTCATGCTTAGACAGAGACTGCCCAGGAGCACACCTGAGGCTTTTATATCTTACCTCCCCTGTTATCCCATCCCCTTTTCATCACTATTTGATTTTCTAAAAGTAAAAATAAAATTTGTTTTGAACTGTGAAAAACTTTCACCATACAGAGTACAGTAGACAGCCCTGTAACCAGCAAGATCAGACAGATGTGAACTTTTTGTCACATCCTTCAATCTCTCTTCACCTCTCTTCACACCCTTCCCCTATCTTGTTTGGGGGAAGTGAAATGTACAGCTCAAGCCCTCCACCATGCTCTCTTCGGCTGGTGGCCTCACACACATGTGCAGCTTTCACACTTTTCCTGCATAGGGTGGCCTCCTGAGCAGCCTGGAGGGTTCGTACGTGCTTTACGTTTTACATACTTGGTTTCACACTGACCCAGGTGTTATTAGAACACTGATGTTTTCTTTGTGGAACTTGCTGTTCTGGTCAGCGGTTCTGGTTGACTCCATTTGACTGCTATATGTTATCCCATAGTCCGAATTAAACAATTTGTACACCTGCGACCTGTTGGGTGGGTTGTGTCCACGTCTCCACAATGCAGAGCAGTATAAGAGGGTTTCTCTAGGCAAGTAGGGTCACCTGGTGCTGGGACATGTGCACCTGTGGGTGGAGGGGGCCCCAATGGTGCCGGCCTCTCCCCCACCAGCACTGTGTTATCTGACTCACCGTTCCCGCCAGGTGATGGATGCAGCCATCTGATAATCAGAGCTGCTTTCTCCCCAGAAGTTCATGCTCAGCCTGGTTTCTTGGAGGCCTAGGATCAACCCAGAATATCAGGCCTTGACAGGGAATCTTTGGGCCTCCCCTAAGCAGAGTGGAGCTGGGATTTCTGATTGGCTCTTGCTATGGGGTGAAGGGAAACCTGGGCATTTAGTTGGAAAGCCAGGCCCCTGGCTTGCTCCATGTGATTTCCTGCTAGAGACCACCTCCTATCCATGACTTGGAGTCAGACACCCTTGGGTTTGAATGGACCATGGGTTAAGTGCCACCAGGCAGTTGGTTCACAGCTCTGCAGCCTGTGAAGAGGAAATGGGAAGCAAGTGGAGATGAATGGGTTGGGCGGCTGGTGTATATTTGGCCCTCTCCCTGAGTGGTCATCTTTATTGTTGTTAGAAAGGGATGATTGCCGATTGCTAGAAATAAATGATCAGGTCAAAGATTTGGAAACTGGCTTTGGGGGCTGGGCCTTCCCCCATGTAGTGGGATGATGTCTCATGAGGCAAGAACAGGCTTTGGGTCAAGGCCAGGATGAGTTCCATTAGGCCTGAACAGCGCCAGAGCTCTGGAGCCCCAGATCTGTACATTCATGCGTCAATCACCTCTGCGTGCCAACCCTCAGCTCAGGCTAGGACTCAGTGGCAAGAGAGACAGCTTTGGGCCTGCTTCCTGGAGCTTCCACAGAAGGGGTAGTTGGTCAGGCCCAGGAGCATAAGCTTCTGTGCAGCTGCGTGCCGTGGAGGAAGAGGGCAGGTCTGACACGGAAGGGGCATCTTCGTGGGGCCTGCAGGAAATGCAGGGCACTTCTAAGGAAGCAGCACCCAGGAGACCTGGCCCGGGGTTCAGAGTCTACAGGGTAGCAGGAAGGGCATTCTGGGAGGGATCTGCACAAAGATGTTCCTTTCCCTGAGGTGGAAAAGGAAAGAGCAGAAGGGCCTGTGGCTGGGGCAGCAGGGAGCAGGGGGAAGAACAGTGGAGCACAAGTACGCTGGGCCACGTGAGGACGCCATCCACTACCTCGGGACGGGAGGAGACACTAGAGATAGGCCCGAATGTGGTTCTGTGAAGCCACTTCCCAGGTGGCCCCAGGCAAGGCCCTCTCCTCTCTGAGTCTCCTGCTCTCTAGAATGGGGGCTATGACGCCCAGCTCCTGGGGTTGTCAGGAAGAAGAAAGCACTGCCCATCATGACCTCTCTGTAAGCCCCTCTGGGCTGCTTGTGGAGAGAAACCCAAGGCCTCAAATCAGAAATGCTTCCTTCAGACTCCTGGGCCTTGAGGCAAGTGTCATGGGAAATTGGATGCCAACCAAGCCCAGGGCAGACACGCTGTGCCAGGATTCAGCAGAGCAGGGAGCGTGCAGGGAGAGGCAACCCTATGCCCTCGTCTCAGAGCAGGCTGTGTGCGCCCAGCGGACACGGCACCAGCAGGAGCTGTGTGGGCTCGGCTCCATGCAGGTGCGCCTACGTCTATGTGTGTCCATGTATGTGTGTGCGTGCTCACGCTTTTGTGTGTGTGGTGTGTTTTTGACAGGGGGGAGGTGAGTGAGAGGCCAGCTTCCTGACAGGGCAGTTGTAAAACATTCATAAAACTTTTATTGGACTTGCCACCCTTCCAGATAAATATTTTTCGATTTTATGGGCTTGTTTTAGGACCCCAAGCTTAATCATGGCTTTGTGGCTGCCTTAAAGAAATTAAATATTGTTTTGGCAAAAGGAGCCCTCTTCCCCTACCCCTGCCAAAGGCAGCCTGAACTCTGAGCTCATAAATTCCTGCCACTCTCAACTCTTGCCCTTTTTCCCTCCGTAGTCTCAGAGCCATACTAGGATGAGCCCGAAAAAAAAAGAGGGAGAGAGAGAAGAAAAAGCAACCCCTACTCTTCTCCCTCCAGGTTCCCCAACTCCCCTGACCCTGGCGGGAAATTCAACCCAGCTCATTTGTCCACACAAGGGAGCGGGCAGAGGAGTCTGTGCTGGGCAGTCACCTGCTGCCTCCCTGAGATGGCAGGCTGCCTTGGCTGGAGGCGCCCCCATTCCCCCAGCCCCTCCCTGCCTCCTGGAAGACCTGAGTGGATCCCTGCCCCCAGTTCCTCAGATCTCATTGCCTCTGAGGCCCCACTTCCCACACTGCCTCCTCGGGCCCCTCTGAATACCCTTTCCAAAAGAACACCCCCAAACCCAGCACCATCCCGCTGTCTCTTTGCTGTACTGCCTTCCTAGCATCTAGCACTATCGGAAACTTTCTCCTGTATTCATCTATTGGTTACAAGCCTGTCCCCGTTACAGAAATAACTCACACCATGCTGGACCCCCACCCCTGGAACAGGGCCCAGGGCACAATAAGTGCTCCGTGAATATGGGGAAGGTATGCTCAGTGAATGGGGTGGGGTGATTTGGGTAAGGAATAAAAATAGTAAACATTCTTTAGACCTTGCTTTGTGCCAGCCGCTGTTCTAAGCACTTTCTGTTATATGAACTCACTTGGGCCTTACACCAAACCTGTTCCCATGTTTCAGATGAGGAGACTAAGGCGCAGAGAGGTCACATGTCTTTTGTGAAGGCACGCAGCTGATCTGCGCCTGGACTAGGGTCGGGATCTTGGTGGTCTGGGTATAGAGCCTGAGCTCCTGGCTGTGTGTTACACTGGGTTTCCTGGAGGAGGAGAGCAAGGTGGCTGTGCCCTGGCCTGGAAGGCATCAGCCAGCACTTGGCAGGCACCACCCCCTTCCTGGCCTCGTGCCAGGCCCTGAGTCAGAGGTGCTGGGGCCATAGGGCTGGGACAGGAGGGGCTCAGACTCAGATACAGATGCCTTCAAGGGGCAGGCAGGTGACAGAAATGAGGGGAGCCAGTCTCAGGTAAAAGCAGCAGCACATGAGCGGTGACAGAGAGTAGCTGGTGTGCCCAGGGCCCAGCACAGGCCCACGCCAGCCCACTGTGGCAGGGTAGGAATCCAAAGAGAAGTCTTCTAGCTTTTCAAGACAAACTAGAAGTTCAGAACTGTATGTCAAATGTCCTGATTTAAAAGGTGAGTTAGTAGTTCAAATATTTCAAAAATGCCATGGAGGCTAGATTCTACTCCCAAGCTAATATAGTTCTTTTTGATCTTTGTGAAAGTGGTGAGCCCCAGGAAGCCCAGGCACAGAGCCTAGCTAAGGAGGCCTTCTTAGAGGAGGCAGTACTGAGTTCCATCTTGGAGGAGGGTGGAGAGACAGCCTGGGGAGAGGTGTTCCAGGCAGAAGCGTCCGTGGCTCTGCCCAGGAGAGAAGGTACCACTGCTGCCCAGAGTGGCTGGGCTGTGGAGGACTACACAAGGGAACCAGATACCTAAATGCTGGAAGAGGTCGGGGTTTCCCCTGCAGCAGCCTGATGGAGCCTCCAGAAGACCTCATGGGCCATGTTGTGAGTGGACTGGTTCAGAGGTGATTTGTGGGGTCCAGCTGCCAGAATGGGGTGTCCCAGGATGGAGATGAGCAGACCAGAGCAGAGTGAGTGTGGGGGTGAAGTGCTCAGGACCCAGCATACACAGGTGGCATTGCCAGCTTGTGGGGGCCTTACCAAAGCCCTGTAGGCGGGCACCCGTCTCTCCCAGCATTCCCACATGCACGCATGCACAAGCACGCCAGTTGCTGGGGATGGAGTGGAGGGTACAAGGCCTGAGGTGGCTGTACCCCTGAGCCCCTAGGGAATGCAACTGAGGCTGGAGAGGGAACACGTCCAAGGTCAAGAACTCGTTGAGGGACCACATCAGAGGAACAGAGCTTTAACTTCATTCAGCCGCTGTTTCCCAAGCATTTGCTGGGCTAGTGCACAGGGGTTTCCTCACTGACTCCTCCTCACTGTCTGCCAAGAGAGGTGGTATTATCTATCCCCCTTCCACAGAGGAAATTACTGAGGGCCAAAGTGGTGCAGGGCTGTCCCCAGGTTGCCCGCACAAAAGCAGCAGTGGTGGGACAGGTCCCAGACCCCCCAGTTGCCCCCTGCTATCTCCCTGGAAGTCCATACTGGGTTTTGTTTGAATGTGGGGAAGACCAATACAGGCAGACCATCCTACCATTATGATTTTACCAAACCCCATAGATGTCAGGCTTCCTGGCCCAGGACAAGGAGTGGCAGAGGCATAGCTGCCAGGCACCTTGTCCTAGCCCAGCTCCCTCCTCCTCCAGAGAAAGTCCCCAGGCCACCCCAAGGTGTAGCATGCAGTCTGGACACCTCCAGGCTCTCCAGAGCAGTCCCAGCAGCTGCTATAGCTCAGACCCACGATAAGACCCAACCCTGTAGGTTTCAGAGCTGGCCACAGGGGCCAGGCAGGCAGCGCAGGAGAGTAGCCCGACTGGGGGACTGCAGTGGGGAGCGGGGAGTGTGGTGTACAGGGACCATACATCCTGTCTGAAGGGGCAGCCTGTGCTCACCTCAAGCCACCTGCTGCCCTGGGAATGCAGGCCCACATTTTAAAATGTTGACAACTAGTCCACAATTTTTAAAGCACATGAAGAGGCCAAAGCAAACATACCTAAGGGTCAACTTTGACCCACAGGCAGCAGATTGTGAGTGCGGCTGTGGCTTGCAGGGTGTCCTCCCACACACAGCTCAGTGAGCTTGCCATGCACCAGTCCCGATGAGAACAACAGTGGACACTAACATTTACTACATGCCCAGCACGTGCTGACTGTTTTATATGAGTTACCTCATTGACTTATGAGTTCCATTCCACCACTCACTGGCTAAGCTTGGAGAGTGCAAGGGCCTCACCCGGACTCACGATCTGGCTCATGAGGCTGGCCCTCTGCCCGCAGCCCTCAGCTCCCTAGCCTGAATCTGGGCAGAGGAACAAGAGGCAGGAGGCTGAGGCCTGGGGCACGACACTGATAGGCAGGTCAGCCCAGAACAGTCCAAGGAGGCCTGGTTCTAAGGGAGGGAACATCCCACGGTGGAACATGAGCAGCAGTTCCCCAAGTGGGCTGCTCACATCCACCCTGGGCGTGTGCAGGATGACTCTAGGTAGTCCACAAATAAGCCCCCAAAGAATGTTCACAGTTACATGTTGATTTTAACAGGTACTCTATTTATGTCAAGGGAGACTGGATTTCCACTTATGGCAGCATAGAATGTTCTCTAATTGAGTTAGATGAGTTGACTAAAGAAATCTTTAGTAAATAGTCGAAGTGGTGGCAATGGGTATGGCAGAACTAGTGATGCTGAGAAAGATTTGGGAAGTCCTGGGGGAGATTTGAGAGTTTTGATGGGTGAAGTAGGGTTCAGGTGGGCCTTCCAAGGGTGCATGAAATCTACCCCAGGGAGAGAAAGAATGACCTACAAGTTGGGGCCATACCCTAGCAGGCTGCAGGCTACCTATGCCCTGAAAACGTTCTCAAAAATCAGGAATTTTCATGTAAAAAATCCAGATTTCCAGTTTCTCTTGAAAAGCAGGGTGTTCTGTCCATGCTGAGCACATCCCCTCCAGTTCCCCAGGGCCCCCAGCCCTGTGGGATATGGTATCAGCTGAGACAGGCAGTGGGGGGGGGATGCAGTGACAGGTGACACCACAGCTGAGGGTAGTGAGGCCAGGCCTTCATGGTGGCACAGCCAGGCCCCATGGCTGCTGTGTGAGTCTGCATTGCTATAAAGGAACACCTGAGACTGGATAATTTATTTAAAATAAAATTTTAAAAAGGCTGTACAGGAAGTATGGCACCCGTATCTGCTTCTGGTGAGACCTCAGGAAGCTTACAATCATTGTGGAAGGCAAAGGGGGAGCAGGTGCATCACATGACAAGAGAAGGAGCAAGAGAGTGAGGAGGAGGTGCCAGGCTCCTTTAAACAACCGGCTCTCACATGGACTCACAGAGCGAGAACTCACTCATCACTGTGGTGAGGGCACCAAGCCACTCATGAGGGATCCGTGCCCATGATCTAACACCTCCCCCGAGGCCCACCTCCAACACTGGGGGTCACATTTCAACATGATATTTTGAGGGGACAGACATCCAAACCACATCATATGCTGGCCTCTGCAGCCTCCTCCCAGGCAGGGCTGCCAGGTGCTCACCCCTCATAGGCCTGGCTCTGTGAATTACCACAGGGCCCAGGTGAGGAGGATGGACAACTTGCCTGGTGGCGCGTGGGCAGCTCCCTCAGGGCTGGCAACACCAGCCACCCTCCTCGGCCCTGTGCTCCTCCACTGGTACTGCACCTGGCCGCAGGGGCTGCAGGGGTCACAGGGGTATGGGAGCCATGGACTGGGGGGCTTTGGCTCAGGAGGTGGCTCCTGAGGACAGAGGCAGTGTTCTGTCCCTTCTGGTCAGACCCATCTGCCCAGCATATGCTTGAGTTTTGCTTTCATAAAAATATCCACATGTCCTGGCAGTTCTCAATAGTTCTGACTATTTAGGAAAGATAAGTATACACCTTCTTCAAAGTTCAGAAATGAAGGTGCTGTGTGGCAAGACACAAAGGTGCATGAGTCCAGGCTCGCAAAAGTCGTGATGCCAAGAAAGATCTGGGAAGTCTGGGGGGCGTCGAAGAGTTTTGATGCGTGAAGTGGGGCTCGGGTGGGCCTTCTGAGGGTGCGAGAAATCTACCCCAGGGAGAACAGATACCAGCCTGAATTAAGTCGGCTGCTGGCCTCTCCTCAGCTCAGCCCAGAATGGGAGAGGAGGCTATGGACTGGCACGAAGAAGGATCTTTGTCACGTGTGCTTAGCATTGGATGGCAGGGCCAGGCTGGGCTGGCCCCTGTGGCACCACCAAGACCCCTCCCTACAGGCTCCACTGGGGCTGGGGAAAGGAATGTGCACCTATGGAGTCCTGCGCGCATATGGAGGCCCACTCAAACCCTGCGAGTGTATGGAGCCCCGCTTGCATGTTTGGAGCCCTGGCAGCCCCCACCTGATGTGCCTGCCCCAGGCAGCATGGAGCACTTCCTGGAGGAAGTAGGTCTCAGCCAGCCTTTTCTAGATGGGCACGGGCAGGCACTGGATGGCTATTTAGGCATGAGGGTGCCACGAGCAGAGACCTGGAAGCTCAAGTAAGGTGCAGCCATTAGGGTGCCAGGAGAAGGAGGCCTAGTGGCCCAGCCAGCCCCTGGGGTTGCCCTGTCCAGAGCCTACACCCACCAGGTCCTCACTCTGAACTGGCAGTGGCAGAACCACGACTTGAGAAAAAAAGTCCTTTCTCTGAGCTCTGTTCCTCTTTCCATTGCTCCCGCTCTTAGAGTCTTCCTTTTTTTAATATCCAATTTGGTCGCCTTCCTTGGGGACAGCCACAGAAGGGGTCCAGCCCTGTTGGCAGCCTCTTGCCCCCGCCTCCACTAACTCGCCTCCAGCACTACCTCCTCTAGCTGCCTGCATGCCAAGTCCCCCTCCAGTGCTTCCTGACACCCCTTCTCGGACCCCTCAATTTATCTACAGTCCATCTCTGCCTTCGAGCTCCTCCAGGGTGGGGAACAGGGAACAATCTGCCTGCCATGAGTCCGCAGCCACCAGCAGCGGGCTTGGCCAGGGTCCACGCTCTGTAACTGCCGTTTAGGTGGGGTCTGAGCCCCCGGCTGCCTGTGACATGTCTGCCCAGGTGGGCTGTGTCTCCACTGCAGCACCCACTGCTCTCCAGTGAGGGACTGGCCTGGCCCGAGCCTCCTGAGTTTGCTGAGTGAGGCCACTGCTGTGTAAGGCCCATTCCCTGGTGTAGTCTGCCTGTACCCCTCATCCCTTTGCCTCTTCGAGGCCTTCTCCTGGTCGACTGTGTGCTTTCAGTGGTGCCGGCCAGAGCGTCTAGCAGAGAGGCCAACTGCTGCCTCTAGCCCCTGAGCCCTTGCAGGGGTGTTTTTTGAAACTCAGTCCAGAAGACGTGAAATGGAGGAGGGCTGTCTGTCTTGCCTTCCTGACTAGAGGTAGAGGGTCCCCAAGCTGCAGGTCTGCTGTTGGTTCTTCAGGGCCTCTTCAGTCCACCTGACACCCACTCTTGATTTCTGGGTCAGGAGCCTGAGGAACTGCCTGGACTGTCCCTGTGCCTCATGTGGTGCTGGGACCCAGGAGCCACAAGAGGTAGTCAGCTGGGGCCACCACCTGAAGGGCAGTCTGTAGGGCAGGAGTTCCAGGCAAGGGAGCCGGTGTGCCCTGGGCCGAGGCAGCCTGCGGTGTCCTGTGGCCGGAGCCATGGGGATGGAGGCTGGAGGGAGGCAGGCAGGCAGAGGTGCTGCAGCGAGGCATCTTAACCCAGCTAAGGAGGGAGCGCAGACATCTGGAGCAGCAAGGGTGCTGACACTCACCCGAGGACATCACAGCCCTGCAGAGGAGGAAGACAAGCCAGGCCGCCCACCACTCTGGCAGGCATTTTGGTTGGGGATGGGCGGGCATAACAGGACACAGGAGGTCATCCGATGTCCACATTTCCCCACACAGAGTGGTCCTGCCTGGCACCGTCTCAGCCATCCCAGACAGATTTTCTGTTCAGCCTTGGTTGCCATATGAGGACTCCACCCAGAGGGCCCACATGGCCTCCTAAGTCACAAGTGGTTGGTGGTAAACCCAGGCCTAGAGCCCAGGTTTCTGGCTATCCCCCTGGAAGAGGCCCACCTTGGGCACTTGGGAACAACCCCTGACCATCCTTGAGCCCACGCTGCTGGGTGAGGCTGGCCGCCTTGCTGCAGGAAGCCTGGTTTATAAACAAGTCCAGTTACAGGAAGATCGGGAGGGTTTTTGGTTTTCACTGGACGTGGTTGTTTCATGGACCCACCCCAACAGGGAGCATGGCATGCTTGACCTTGGGAAAGGGAGGCCTTGGCTTAACGCCGAGAGCCTCATCTGCCAGCAGAGTGATGTGGTGTGGACTGAGGCTGCTCCAGCAGAATGGGCAGGGCAGGCCCCAGATGTGAACTAACTAGCTTGAGAGAGCACCTAGCCGGTCAAGCCTAGCCCACGTGGATCCAGTCCCACCTTCTTTCCATGTTGGTAGCAGAAGCTGGGAGTCCGGTTGCAGGGGTGGCTGAGTTGGCAGCGCCCGTAAGATGCTGTGGATTTGGATTTGGGTCCTGGAGGCAGGGAGGCCCAGTGTCATGGGTATGCTACCACCACACAACTATTTTAAAATAGAAGGCGCTGGCCCTAAATTTTTCTCGTATCATCACATTTATCTGCATCTTGTGAAAGTGCTTTGCCTCATGAACAGTCCCATAGTTGGGACTGTTTCTCCTGGATATAATTTACATTGTTGTGACAACTCAAAGTCATGATTAACACAAAAGTGGGACTTGGGGTCACTCAGTGGAGTGATCTGTGCAGTCACTTCTCCTCATTCATCCTCTCACCTGTCCGCTCTGTTAATGTGTACTATATAGAGGAGGTGGCATTTGCTGGGGAGAGCTGGCTGTGAGATGGGCATGGGCCCAGGAACAAGCACAGCCAGGCTCAGGAGGGGTGCATGTGGGGAAGGGACCTTTTCGCCTCTTTGCCACTGTATTTTGGGAGGTAGAGGGGGTTAGAGCTTTGACCACCACAGAAGGGGGTGAGACAGATGTGAATCACCTTCGCCAAATGAAAAAACCTAACCCAGAATGTTAGTTGCTTTGGGCTTCTGTGTCTGAAAGAGAGAGGCCCTTGCTTGCTGTTCTCTACAGACAGTCATGCTGGAGTGGGCCCTGCAGGCCTGGGCTGGAAGCGACACAGGACACAGCGGCCACAATCTACCTCTTCTCCCTGCTCCATGCTGTGGTCTGTGCCCAGGGCCCAAGGCAGCCAGAGGGCCCCTGCCCTCAGGAGCCAGACCCAGCCCCTCTGCAGATCTAGCAGGAGACCCCACTTTCTGCACCACTCGGGCACCCACACAAACACACCCTCATACCCCATGATCACCCCGGCTCCATCTCCTGCTCTCCCCACACGCTGGCCCCAGTGCTGGCCCTTGGGGCCTTTGCTTGGCGCCCTCAGGCTGGGTGTTCTTCCCTCCCAGTGTCCTCATCCCTCACAAGTCCCTGTTCAGATGTCATCCCACCCTGGGCCCTTTGCTGATCACTATCTAAAGGAGCAAAACACCCTCTTGACACTCCCCTCTCCCGAGCAGCTGGCACCACCTGTCATACGACACATGGATGTGTTGGCATCGCCTGTCTCCCACCAGAACGCCCACACTGGGCCTGCGTGATTCCCTCACCTCTGCAGCCCCGCCCCCGGTGCATGCCTGCATAGAGTAGGTGCTCGCTAGCATTCTTGATTAAATGAATGCACAGACTCCCTGGCCTGGGTCAGCCATGGCATTCTCCAAACCACAGTTCCTTGCCCTCTAAAGCAGTGGCTGGTGCTGTGCTCATTAATTCCAAAAGGCAAGAAACGAAATGGTCTCCCGCCCCAAGCTATGGAGAGCTCTTCAGGACAGCAGCCTCCCATCTGTCTCCCCAGAGGCAGAAGAGCCCCACACCTGGGTTGGGGTGGCCTCCCAGTTGACCACCAAAGGTGTTTCCAACCTCGAGGTTCTGGGCCCTGGCTGGTGACCAAGTGGGGAAGCCCATCTGGGGAAGGCAGGGAGGACATGGCCACGACTGTCGTGGTGGTGCCCTCCAGGCCTGCTCAGGGTGTGGTGGAGTCCAGGCATGGCAGGAGTGAGTGATAGAGCAAGCGCTTTGAAGCAAGCCAATGCTCCCAGTTCCCTGACCCTCACCGATGGGCTCTTCTCTCTCAGCACATTTTTAAAGTTTGGTTCCTGGCACCCGTTCCTATCAGGTGCTCTCTCATTCCTTTGCACATTTCTCTACACATATATGTGGGTCTTGCACCCCCTGGACTGTGGACTCCACCAGCATAGCGGCCCCACCTGGCCCACTCAGGCAGTCCTCAGAGTCTGGGACAGTGCCTGGTGCCCAGCGGGTGCTCTGAGGGCAATCATGGGCAGAAAGACAAGCAACGAATGCAGGAGTGAGCTTCTGCTTGTGCTGTGCCAGAGGGAGGCGCCCAGCACCATGGATGCCCTGTGGGGGCCATTGGAGGGAGTCTGCAAGCGCTTCCAGAAGGGCGAGTGCCTGAGTGTGCCCCAGCCGTGGCTTCCCTGGGTCCTGTCTTTGCGGAGAGCATGGTGATCCTTTGCTCCTCTTCACCCAGTTTGCAAGAGTGAGGTGGCCAGCTGAGGGCAGAGCTATGTGTTCTGGGGTAGGGATCTGCAGCTCTTAACAGCCTGCTGGCAGCCCTCATGCCCAGTGCTAGCCTCTGTTGTCTCTGAGCCAGGGCATGCGGGACCCAGAGTGGGAGTTAGGCAGAAGAGACCCGCACCAGCCCCCCGTGAGGGCAGCAGACATTGCAGATGCAGGTTCTGGAGCCAGCCGCCTAGGTTCAAAGCCAGGCCCCCTATGTCCTGGCTGTGGGAACTGACGCAAGTCATTCATGCCATGTCAGCTGGTTGTTCCTCACCGGGGAGCAGGGTTCCACATGTGGGCCCTGCCCACCAGGCATGCAGTCTTGCACAGACGGGGCCTGCCCAGGGAGGCAGGGTCATTGTCCCCTTGTAATAGGCGAGGGGACCCAGGGTACCTCAGCTCACCCGTGACAGAACCTGCCATCCACCTGTATTCTGGACAGGATCTACTTCCATGGGCCGAGGCACGCGGCATCTCGCTTAGGGCCTAGCTGTCATGGGCACTCAGTGCCATTGCTGCTGCCCTGACCCAGAGCATCCCTGGCCCCACACAGAGCCAAACAAGTGACAGGAGGCTGCCCCTCACGCCAAGCTCCCTTCCCAGCATGCTGCCCAGACCACTGTGCACAACCACTCCCGCCTCACCCCTGAGCCTACTTGTGCCCACCTGAGAGAGTGTGGGGGGATGACAGAGGCTGGGCCTGGCACACACAGGCTGCTCGGGTGCTGCCCTAGGCTCGCTGTCTGCTGGCTCCACGTGCCCTCGGGCTGGTGTGGGGCACCATGAGCAGGGAAGGGGGTGGTGGGTACAGCCCCCTCCCCAGACCTCCTTCAGTGTTTGCTGTCTCCTGTGGCCCTGGTTTCCCTTGGTTTTCAGGGTCTTCAGAAGACAGGGGGCCTCCTCTGAGCCCAGCCTTGCTGTCAGAGGCCCACATGTGGCAGCCATGTGTCCATGGGAAGGAGCAGGAGGTGGCAGCTTTTCCCAGCGCCCAGGCACCTGGCCTTTAAGGCTTCCACATACTTTGTTTAAAAAACAAAGAAGAAGCTTTCTTTCCAGAGCCCTCTGTGGGGCCCTCCCTATCTCAGGCCCTCTCTGAGGGCTTCCCCCTTCCCCATCATAACAGCAGGACCCATTTCACAGACAAGGAGGCTGAAGTTCAGTGCACCACCCCCCAGGCACCTGCAGAGCTGAGCACCTTTCCAGGGTACTGGCCTGGCTGCTACAGGGACAGACCTGGGAAAGAGGCCATGATGACAGCTGTCCTTTTGGTACACACGCTGGTGTGTCCCAGATGGGAGTCCTGGCGTTCACGCTGCTGCAGAAACATGAACACCAGCTCTGTTTCACTGGTGTTGGCTCTGTCCCCAAGACCCATCCTTACTAGCCCTTGGAGCCCAGGCTTCTGAGGGTAGAGGGACACCTGGCCAGAGGTGCTCCAAGCTGAGGCCTATGCACTCCAAGACCGGGGGGCAGCATATCCCAGGTGTAAAACAGCCCCCACCCAGCCACAATGCAGGATCTGAGCCTGTGGCCACTAAGAGATGCAACCTGCCCAGGGCAGAGGCACAGACTGTGTTTTGGAAGAAAAGACGCACAGTGCCACTAGACAAGGCCCTCTAGCCCCTCAGCAGCAATGCTGGACAGTACTGGGCCAGGGGGCTACTGCAGAGAGCCCGAGTCCATGGCTGGTGAGCCAAGAGGCAGTTACAGTGGGAGGTACTGAGGGCTGTGAGGTAGGTGCAGGGCCAGGGACCAGGATGTGGCCACTTATGGGCACCTGCTTTGTGCCTGGCCCTGTCCTGGGCATTGGGGACCCATTTGGTCACATAGGCCTGAGAGCTGAGGTGGACACACGGCCAGTGGGTGACACGTGTGCAGCAGGAGTGCAGCCAGCATCAGAAAGCGTGTGGGCATTCCAGTGGGGCGGTGGCGGGGGCGGGGGGTGCGGAGGTCAGCCCATGGGCATACCTGCCTCCCCTGGGCCTTGCAGCCACAGGCCACCTCTGGGATCTGCCTCCGAGGGACAGTGTGTGGGCACATGGCCATCAGCACAGACACAGGGTGCCAGGCCCCAGCCCCTGTACCCACGCTCACCCTGGGCCTCAGCCCCTGCAGGTCAGGGAGGGATAGACTGTTGGAGTCTGCAGCTTTCAAATCAGGAGTGTGGGTGGGGACCAGAGATGCCACGCCACCCCTGCCCTTCCCCTGTCAGCAAGAGGACAGCCAGCACCGCCGCCTGCCCACGGCCTCTCGCTCTGCTCTGGGAACAGGGCTGATACAGTAATCAGGGTGCTACATATGGGCTCTGGAAAATGACTGCTCCCCGGGCCTTTGTTCGCCTTCATTATTCTAGACGGTTTTTTTCCCCCACCAAGTCATAAAAATGACATTTTTAATATGTGGATTTTTTTTTTAAAGAAAAGCAATATGAAGAAGACTTTTATTGTCAATAAGCTCTACCTTTTAAACCAGTTATCTTAGTTTCTGCTCTAGGTATTTTAATTGAAGATTAACTGCTGTTAAAGAGTATACACATTTAGGGAGTGAGTGTTTGGAGTATTAAAATTCGGCTCCCTTGGTGGGGATGGAGCTCCACGGGAGGCCACCAGGAACCATGCTCCCCCAATGGCCAGCCTTGGGGGGCTGTCTGAGGAGGAGGGCCGCCTGCAGGAGGGGCCCATCCTTGCCTCTGGCCACAGCCTTTTCTTTCATTGGAAGGGGCAGGCTGGGGTGAGTCCTAGCCCCACAGGGGAGCAGAGGACAGCCTGAGAGCATATGGCTGTGTGGTCAGAAGGGCATCCTGGCCCGGCCTCTGCACCCTTGGTTGAAGCAAGCCCTTCCTTCCCCTTGGCCAGCCATTGGGTTTGGGCACAAAGGAAGGAGAGAGGGAAAGGGCCACTAACCGAGCACTCTGTGTGCCAGGACTTCTGCATGCAGCGTTGGTCTCCACGGCCATGAGCGAGGGGAGTGTCCTCCCTGTGCTGCTGGCAGCATGGGGCCTTATGTCCCTAGAGCATCTATGACCCCGGGCAGGCCTGTCCCCCTCATTAGACACGTCCCCAGCATCCTCACAGCATCAGGAGGTCAGGCGCCTGTTATCCCTGCGTCACAAGCAGACAGGAGGTTTCAGCATGTGTGTGAGGCCTCCGGGCCAGAAGGCAGAACGGGAGCCATGGGGAGTGGGTCAGCTCCCAGACCCTCAGCCAGGGCCTCAGCAGGGCAGCCATCAGTGGCCCACTCCTGCCTGACCCACTGCTCCATTGAGGCCATGCTGCCTCACTGAGACCTGCCCAGGGAAATGTCACCTTTTCCACCACAGTCTTCCTGACCCCAGCTTCCTTCCTCCTCCTCCTCTGAATGCCCGGGTGTGACTGTCTGTGGCTCCTTCCCTTTCTTCCCAGGGCTTTTCACTGCTGTCATGGGTGGTTTGCATCCAAGTCTCCCTCTATCTCAAGATGCCTGTGAGAGAACAAAAAGAGGAGAAAACTAGCTCTGCATTTCCCTGTTCTTTGTCAGGCCCAGCTTCCTCCCAGCAGAGTGGGACTCCTGCCAGGCCTCCCTCACAGGGGATCGTGGCCGTGCAATGAGGCGGTGTCTGTCCAGTGCACAGCCCAGCACACCCAGGCCAATCAGCAGCCAGGAACGGGGCCCAGCAGAGGGCTGAGCCTCAGTTGTAGCTTAGTTAGCCCCGAGCTGACGGAGACACAATGATACAGCACCCTCAGCCACAGCCATGATCAGAATGGCAGTGGCCTCTCTTTACCAAGCGCTTCCTGGAGAGAGCCGGGCCATGTGTCTTATTCCCACCATCCCTCACCCCAACTGAGGAAAAAACCAAAGCTCCGAGCAGGCCAGTCAAGCTGCTGTGTCACCAAGCCTGGTGTCCAAACCCCAGCCATGAGCACAGAGCTCAGGCTCTGACAGCACCACTGTCATCCCTGCCTGCCCTGCAGGTGTCAAGGCCTGCCTTCAGGACCTGAGATGGCCTGGACAGCCACCATTCCAACCAAACAGAACCTGCTGAAGGAATGGCCCTGCCCTCTAGGGGGTCCCTCATTCTAGAGGCACATGTGTATCTGTGTGTGGTTTGTGTGTGTGTATGTATGTCATGGACCAGGCCTGGCTTACCAACAGTACAGGCACAGGGTGGCAGCTGGCGGCGCTAGTGGAGAAGAGAGACAGCCCCTTCCTCTAGCTCCAGCTACCTGGAGAGGAAGCTGGGCTTCTCCAGCTACTGGCGAGGACATGTGATCTCTTCTCTGCCACTGACTGTGTGACCTTGGGCACATCAATTTGTGTCCCTGGGCCTCCATTTCTACCTCTCAATGATGGAGTGGATAATGTACCCTCCTCACATGAGTTGAGGCACAGAAAGCACTTTTCTGATCCTTCCTACCCCAAGCCCTGTGCCAGGCACTGGGACACACTGTCAAATGGGATCGTCTCCGCCCTCCCAAAGCCCCCATCCATGCAGGAGTTGGACACACAGCTGCTGAGAGCTGGGACTGGTTCCTGAGGGTGGATGGCCTACTGGGCATGAGGCTGTGGTGCTGTGAAGGGTTTGAGCTCAGGCCCACCACGTTCTTGCTGTGTTACCTTGGGCAAGTTCCTGAGTGCTCTGTGCCTCAGTTTCCTGGTGTGTGTGAATAGCATGATTGTGAACTGAGGTTTGCTGTTGTCTGTGGAGCATGTGGAATGGTGCCTAGCCTGTAAAGGTGCAGCAAACATTAGCTGTGATTGCTACTGGGGTTCTTTCTGTGATTGTTGAGAACTGGCTGGTGCCCATTTTTGGGCATTTTGGGCCAGACCTCCCTTACACAAGATGGTCTTTTCTGTGTCAGGCCCCCTCTTGGCCATCTGGGCTGCTTTCAGTGCCAGTCTCCACAGTGGCAAGGCCCCGCAGCCCACAGTCCTGGTTGCCAATGGTCCCCCGACTGGTACCCACAACACAGAGGCACCCTGGGCCTCTGCCCTGGAAGTGTTTGGAGACAAGGCCCCACCTGGCTCAGCCCCACTGCCCTGGGCCTGGGAGATGCTGGGTGGGAAGAAACATCATTCTGGTTGGGGGAGTCCCCAGTTGATCCCACACCCTTGTCTCTTGCCATCCTCCCTCCTTCCACAGGAGATGGCTGCAGCCCCCTGCTGCCCCCCACCCATGGCACTGCCATCCAGGCTGCTGTATTCCCTGTAGCCAGACTCTCAGGCCCGTGGCAGGGTGGACAGCTTTGTGAAGCTGGGGCCTGGATGGGAATCGCTGCTCCCTGGCTTCCCAGCTGTTGTGACCCCAGGCAACCACTGGGCCTGCCTGTAAAGTGACTTGTAGGATGTCCTGAGGCTGGAATAAAATGATGTCTTTGCAGCCCCTGGCTGAGTGGGAGGCATTTGGAGGAGGCTGCTAGAAAGGCAGTCACTATGAGGGTGGCAATGGTAGCAGCAGAGGGGACCTCTGGCCAAGCCGCATCCCAGCTGCCAATCTGCAGAGCCTAGCTTGCCCAGGGCTGCAGTCCAGTGTCCTTCCCATCCAGACACTTGTCAAACCTCAGCCCCGCCCAGGGCCAGCCAGAAGGGTCCCCAGAAGCACAGATGCACAGGCTCACCTTCCGGAAACTGCCACTGAAGCAGCTCAGCTCTGGCCCAGCTGGCCTCTACTCATCAAGTGCATGTCTTATTCTCTCTGGACGGAGGAGTCGGGCATCCACCCAGCTGCTCTGGCCCATGGATGGGGGGCATGAGCCCCAAGGGAAGGGGCCAGGCCCAGGCCTCCCTACTGATTCCTCCTCCTAGTTCTGGGCAGGCAGGCTCACTGCCTGCAGGGATGACAGGAAAGTCTGTGCAGTCCAGTTCTCCCACCTCTGCCATCAGCCCAGCTGGTAGGTGGTCGGCAGACCTGCTCACCCCCCAGCCTCTGTGCACTGACAGGACCCTGTGGAGGCTGTCAGCCTGGAGGAGGGTGATGAGGAGCCCAGAAGGTGGGTGGGGGAGCTCTGACCCCATTGGCAGATGAGGTGGGGTGCACACGGGCTGAGGTCACCAATACTGCCCCTTCCTGGCATTGCTGGGCTGTGCAGGCCCTGACTATCTCTGGGGGCATTGGATCTGTACTCAGGGCAGAGTGTGGGGGGCCTTGGCCCTAGGGGAAGGCTGGGCAGGCGTCAGAGAAGGCCAAGCCAAGATGCTACAGAGCCTTGTGCCGAGAGAGCCAAGGGAGACAGAAGCGGGCAAGATAGACAAGTGTCATGGGTTCCCCAGGCCGAGGGAGCGCCAGTCCCGAGGCTGGGGCAGTGCTGAGATGGAAGAGGAATGTGTGGTAAGGATGTGCAGGGCTGTAGGGGCAGCTTCTGAGGGACTCCTTAGAGGAATTGGGACCCTGTCTGAGTGGTTGTGAGGGACTGAAGAGGTCTTCAGTGAGCAGCTGAACTGAGAGGAATGTTGGGGTTTTGTCCTAGAAGAATCTCTGGCAACAGCACTAAGGACAGACCAGTGGGAGAGGGTCCTGGCCACTCATGTGCAGGAGCCCCGTGTCCGGGCCCTGGGGCAGGGACCTGCCCCTGCCGGGCCTGCAGGGACACCTAGAGCAGGAGCCTCCAAGGAGCCTGTGGCAAACCACCTTCTGAGCTGTCCCGAGAGGCTGGGCAGGCGCCCCACTCGCAGCTGTGTGAGCCCCAGCCTGAGCTTCTGGCCTGCACAGCAAGGAAGGTAACCTTTGGGGCAGGGCTGGCTGCACTAGGAATGCACCTCACGGAGGCCTCACAGCCACTCCACAGGGTGGGGGATCCCATTCCAGAGGGGTAGGCTGAGACTCCGCTGATGAGGGATGGGGGCTATCCCTGCAGCAGCCCCTTCAGGAGGCAGCTGGTCCAGCCAGTCCCAGAGGGACTGAGAATTTAGGACAACAAACTTTCCTCCGCAGAGGCTGCCCCTCCCTGTATAATTGAGACTCAGGGCCAAGTCATTTTCTGCCTATTTCAGAATGGATTTGTTTTTTGCCTTAAAAAATAAATAAATAAATAAATAAATAAATAAAATAAAAAAAAACCCTTCCATCCGCATAATGCACTGGTGTTCCCTCCCCACGCTCCCCAATCTCCACAGCTTTGACTGCATGATAATTTCAATTTACATGGTGCGGGAAAGATTTCTGCAAAGGGCCCTTTTTTGTTTTTGAAGAATTCATCATTGCTGCTAAGAAGCTTAATGTAAATTAAAGGAGGAATTAGGCAACATTAAGACATCAAAATGGGGGTGCGGGGCGCTGGTTGCCTACGCTTCCGCCCAATCAAAGGGGTGCATGAGCCCGTCGAGTGCGCGCTTGAGAGCCTCGGAAAGAGCGAGGCTCCTGCGAAGGGCCCGCTCCGCCGCCTGCTTCCCCCTAATTCCTTTTGTTGCAGGGACAGCAGAGTACAGGTCTGATAAAAACTTAATCACCTTATCTTTTTAAAGCAAATTGCATCTTTGTTTACATACGGGATCCATAGCTGGGAGGGAAGGAGAGAAAACCAAGGAGCCGGCCCCCCCCAGCCAGCGACGTTAAAGGCTTTAGCTCCCCAGGAAAACAGAAGAGCCCAGCCTGACAAAGAGGTGGCTGGAGGATTCCAGAGTCGCTGTCACTGCTCACAGAGGAGACTGGTGTCAGGGCTGTCCCCTCTCAGGGAGCGCTCACACTGGCTCTCTCTGCCCACCTGGCTCTCCCCAGCCCTGCCAGGCCTGTCCTCCTGGGCCTCTCTGTCCCCAGCCGGGTCTGTGTTAGAGCTAAACCCTCATCGCCTCTGCCTGTCCTCCGGGCCCGGGCTGCCCTGCCCTGCTAGCAGGCAGAGGGGTCTGCATTCAGACTCAGCTGCACCACAACTGCCAGGAAGCCAGGGCAAGTCATTGCAGCTCCATGAGCCTGGCTGGCCGCTGATAGATGGGGGTGTTGATGTCAACCATAGCCTCCATGCGTTTCAGACATGACCGCCAGGCCCCACATTAGGGACACTTCTGCCCTTGCCAGGTTCCCCCTTCTTTCTGTCTCCCCACCCCTGGCCTTGGGGGCAGCTCCCTCTTGGCCAGGCCTGCCTCCAGCCACGCCCTGACTTAGAGGTCTCACTGGAGCACTGTGCCACCCACACACCTCCGTGACCACCTGTGGCCTGTGCAGGGCAGCTTCCTACCTTGGGGTGGAGGGGAACTTGACATTGGAGCCCACCAGCACCCTGTTGAGGGACAGGGCTCCACCCCAGCTGCCCCATGGCCCCTGCTGATGGGGGTGGCCTTGCTAGGCAGCCCCTCCTGTTCCTAGGGCCCAGTATCCAGTTCAGACTGGAGCCTGGCTGAATCCAAGGCCCTCTGTGGCTGTCCAGCCTGGCCATCCCATATATCAGCCCCACCTGCCATTTAGGCTCCCAGCTGTCAGTCATCACCAGGATGCTGACCCCAAAGAGATCCCCTGCCCCTGGCTCTGGCTCTCTTCCAACCCTCTCCAAAACTGCTTGTTTACAGCAGTGGGTAGTGCTGGAGTGACTAGAGCGGCCCCAGCCCCACAGGGCCACAAAGGGGCCAGTGACCCCAAGCTGCTTGCAAGGGTTCAGTTCCCACTGGGGCATGCAAGCCACCCACCAGCGTGGAGACCCCTCTTCCAGTCTGGCCCCCAACATGAAAGCAACGCCAGCAATTGGAGGCAATTTGCCGGCCTTTGATGGCCATGTCAGGGCGGCACCATGGCTAGGGCTTGGGAAACAGTTGTGCTTCCCGCATTCTTCCCTGATTACCCCAGCCCAAGCCAGGACCCGGCAGCCTGCAGCCCATTGTGCCTTTGTGTGGAGCTGGCGCTTGGTGAGAAAGGGCCAGCCTGGCCCTGGGAGAGTGTCTCCACGGGAAGCCATGAGGAGCAGTGTTGCCCCCAGGGTCATGGCCGCCCGCCCCCACTGCATCCTGGGGTTTGGGTTCATCAGGGGGTGGAGCAGGGCCATAGGCTCCGAGAATCCTGAGGTTTGGGAAAAAAGAGGCCCTACTGAATGACAGACGTACATGTAGCACACACACACCCTAGCCCACCCTGCCAGGTAGAGAGCCACCCTCCAGCACATGGGAGAGGGACCAGGGGGCCAGGTCAGCCTGAGACCCGAGCCTGGACTTCTTTCTCCCTTGGGTCACTCAAGGGCAGACAGGTGTTTTCTGGTCCTGGAGGCAGGGGTCCTGCCCTGCTGGGGCATTTTTCTTCCCTCCGCTGTCCTGCACCCCTGCTGTGAGTGCTTGTGAGGATGAATCCATACTCATTCCCTTTGTTTTCATCAAACCTCCCTGAGCCCGTGTGCTAGGCCCTGCACACAATCCTGGAGAGGTGCCCCCTCACAGGCCACTGGGGGAGGCAGGCATATAAGGCAATGACAGCCACAGTGGTGCTGGGCAGGGCACCCAGGAGGATCTCACTTGGCTGGGCAGCTGAGGGGCACCTTCCCAAGGGGCAGCATCAGAGTGTGAGCATGGCAGGCAGAGGGAACCACACATTCCAAGGCCCTGCTTGGCTTCTTATAGCTGAAGCATGGTACATGATGGCGTCAGAGAGGGAGGAGGGGTGAGGCTGAGAGAGAGGCCAGAAAGAGAATAGACGCTTCTGTTGGTGGAGCCAGGTCTAGATGTCTGACCCGGACCCTAGAGCAATCCTTGGGATAGCCAGGTGGGATGAGGGAGGAGGCAGCGAGGCAGGGCTGGAGGACGGTGGATTCCTGCGCCCACACCTCCCAGTCGTTGCCCTTGATGCAAGCAGCAGAGCAGCAGTGTGGGGACCTTGAACTTCCAGCAGCCATGGAGGAGTCATGAGCATCACCACCCCTACCTTACCTCTTGTCCCTGTCCTTCCTGGGCAGACTCAGAGCATGGCAGAGACAGCACCATGGGCCTAGAGATGTCAGCGAGCTTTCTGGCCCTCCCTCCCCTCCCCGGCTCCTGTGTGCCATGGATTGAGCAGGTTCCAGCCAGATTGCACCGGTAGGCACCGTGCCTTCTCTGGGCTCCCAGCTGGATGCCGGAGGCCACAGTGATGGGGGGCCTGTAATAGACATCCCCCTGTGAGTAACCCAGGGTCACAGTAGAAGCCTTGGGAAATACATAAAAGAAGAAAGAAGGAACAGTGCTTGCAACCCACTCCCGACCCCTGACAGCCAAATGGACAGTCTTCCGGTCTCTTTTCCCTTCATCCCAGGGCTGCAGCAGAATTCTTCCAAAAATTTTGATTGCTGCATTTTTTTTGAATCAGCATTATAACATAGGTCTTTCTTTGTGTAACTTTAAACTCTTCTCAGGTATCACTTTTAGTCCCACAGAACATTTTGCTGCAGCAAATAGATGCTGGATGGGTCTGCTGGCCTCCCTTGGTCTTAGAGGCCCTTTGTAGTTCTCAAAAACGTGCCGCTCCCTTAGTGGGTAAGCAAACGGGCTTGGGAATCAGATAGCCTGGCGTTCCCGCTCTGCCTGTAAATAGCC